>NC_000014.9:78702622-78854137 GCF_000001405.40 Homo sapiens
TAGTAGAGATGGGGTTTCACCATGTTGGCCATGCTGGTCTTGAACTCCTGGCCTCAAGTGATCCACCTGACTTGGCCTCCCAAAGTTCTGGGATTACAGGCGAAAGCCCCTTTGCCCAGCCTGAATCTTTCCTTCTTAATGACTCCATGCTATACTGTCTGTTGATTTATTCTGGCTTTTCTCAGTAAATAACAAAATTAATAGTGATCGCCATCACTTATTGAGTGCTTATCAAGGGTCAGAAACTATGTGAAGTACTTTTATATGTGGGACCATCATCTCCTTTATTTCTTACAGTCCTATGTGGTAAGATATTATCTACATTCTACAGTATAAGAACATAGGCTGAGACAAGTTAAATATCGTGCCCAATGTAACACAGTTGGTAAGGTGTCCAAACCCTGGTTAGGGTGTCTCCAAAGGCCATAATCATGACCATGGCACTAAACTGCTACTTCAATCTAACATCTAATTTAATAAAGATATGAACATTTGTTAAGCACCTATATAGTTAGGAGCAATTTCAGATGTTAAAAGGTGTAATTCATATTTCTTGCTCATAAGGTGTTCGAAATCTATTGAAAAGACAAGACTTGTGCTGTACAAAGATAACAAAGTTGAGAGAGTTTTAAGTGATGAGTGAGTGGAGTGGACAGTTTAGCGGAGGGAGAAATCACAGCAGGCCCAAGTCATCAGCTGCCTGAGGGAGAGAAGGGAAGTGGGGCAGAGACAGTGGGATGTGTGATTCCGTGGAGACCCCAGAAGCAAGATTCTTTCACAACACTTCTTAGTCATTCTTTTACCCTGAGTAGGAACGTTATGCAATAATAAGATTAGCCCAGAAGTTTTATCTAGAAGCTGTATCATCCTGGAAGCTGAAGAGAATAAGTTCATTTCATTATTATCTATTGTCAAAGGATTAAATTTGGAAGGGAGATAAGTATATATTTATTTTTTTGCTTGTTGTGAGTAAATGACTTTGCAGTTAGGTATACAGTTGAAAAGCTTTATTGAGATTTGTAGTCAACTCTGCTCCACTCATGGTACCCCAATACTGGCTTCTCCACCATTCCATTTCTCCAACTTCAGAAAATGTCCACAGCGTCCTTACTTTCCAACATTCTCCACTGATGTGGAGTGGATCATTGGTGCTCAGGCCTCAAGTCACAAACCTGTGAGTGACATGGTCTTATCCGCTGACCTGGTGTTTTTTATTGAAGTTGTCCTCTATGCAGATAGTTTAAAAACAAGAGAAAAGAAAGACCAGGTGGTAAACCTCCTATTCCTTGTCAGGAGAAATAGTGCCAAGAAGCCATCTGGGCACTCCAGGGCACATGCCCACATCCCCTCATTCTTTCTAGTTCCCTTGCTGGAGTGCATAGGGATGGGGCATTTACAACAGAACACGTGGAAACACATTCTCAGAAAGTTGAGAACAGAGTGGCCTGGGATAAGATGGCAGAGGGAGAGAAGAAAATACTTCTCTGAGTGGGGACTGTCTCTAATTCTTAGTTTATTCTCATGCACCTGCCTTCTAACTCAAATACCTTGGAAGAATTTGAAGTAATAAGTGCATCATGTAGGGTTAGAATACTCTCTCTTTTTCCAATCAAGTGGGTTGGGCAAGAGGGCAGACAGCTTCCTCATTGGTAGGTAATAAAAGGATTCTGATTTATCAGATTGTGGGATCACCAAGTACCAGAGTAGCCAGGGAAATTCTCAAATGGATTTGAAAATCCTAGGGAAGGAGCACCATTTAGAGAGGCTGGAGAGAAGAGAAAGGCACTGCAGCCTAGGAAACCCAGTGAACAAGAATGCAGAAGCAATAACACCTGGGTTCATACAGAAACCTTTGAGGTGACCCCTAAGCGGGGAGGTATAGACATCCATTAGAAATGGATTGTGCAGGAGGGGAAGGGCTTTGCACATCAAGATGGACTTGGGTGTGGTTTTTGTGCGTGACTAAGGGGTTTCTGCTTTGTGTGTAGGCATGGGGTACAGGAGGGCCTAGAAATTGCCCTCTCTGGAGCATATCCTTACCCCAGTGCAGTCAGAGAGATAAGGGCTCAAGTTCTGTTTATGCATTTAATAGCCTACATGATCTTGGGCAAGTATGTATCCCTGCTGAACTCCATGTCTGTAAAATGGGGCTAATGCTACCTATTTCATTTGCTTATTGTGTATGATATAAAACAGTGTTTGCAAAGTACCTGGCACATGGTAGGCTCTTTTCTTATATTGTTCCGGCTCTCAGCTTGCTTTACTCCTGGTATTGCTCCTGTGTGTCTCTGTATTAAAGATCATGGAGGAATATAAGTATATTTTTTTCCTGAGAGACTTTGTCTTAACTTTGAGATTCTGTCCTCAGCTGTTTTACTGTCTGGTCTCCTAAGCATGAGTCACGTGTCCAAACAGCAGTCTTTACAAGCCCATGGGTGGGATAGTAAGACCAGCTTGTCACTGTTTGTGACTCTGCTTCTGTACCTCCCAGTCTGTGTGACATCTTCCCCCATGGGGAGCCGTTTCTACTTTGTCTTTAATTGCTCCTCACCGAGGCGACTTGTCAGCCAAGGCTGCTTTCTGTCATTTGATGCCACATCTCTTCCTATTTCAGCCAGCCATTTGGGGACATTCATTTAGTTGACAGTCTGATTTTACAGAGAACATTGTACCAGACAATAATTTGCCTTGTAAGGGGGTCCAGCAGGGTTTCCTGCCTCCATGCTGACCCAGGGTGCCAGTACACTTCTGCGTGGCTGTGGCTGTGGTTCTGCACAGAGCAGGTGGGGAAGGTGAAGATATTAACAATGGAGAGTCCCAGTTGAGCATCACTGGGCTACAAGTCCCTTGCCCTCCTGTCCTTTTCCTCTTGGTAGATAAACCTTCACAGAACCTCAATTCAGGACCCTATCCATTTCCAACAGAACCCCAACACCATGGGAGATGAAGATATAGGATTATTTCTTCCTAGGTTTGTGTGCCGGTTTAGAATTGTCTGTGTCCTACTATGTCTAACATCCCACTTGATCTTGACAACAGCCCTGTGAGCTGGGAAAGAGGGACAGTTTGTGGAACAGATATCGAGGCTCTTACCTTTGGAATAAATAAAATGGGACTCAGAAGGGTTATTCAGCTGTCAGTGAGAGTGGTGTTGGCTTTTTATTCACAACAGTGAAAACTCCATATAAATAGACAGGTAATTTCAGGGCCATGGAGTAGATAGAGCACTCACCCTCAAAGAGCCTTTGAGAGAAGTCTGGTTATCTCTGTCTGGCCAGTTTCTGGCCCTTGCTTCTCTTACCTATGTCTTCAGAAATCTTCATTCCGGCTATTCACCTTCTCTCCCAGTCTCAGTTAGGTACCCTTCTCACAGAAGAGTTCCTCTTCACTGCTCTTGTATCTTGTTAAAAGGCTTTTTTTTCCCTCCTTTTTATTCTGTCCCCAGCCTGCTGTAGCAATGCCTGATCTCTCTTTCTATTTATTGTTCCATGGAGCCAAACCTCCTTCTGTCCCTTTGGGATGACCTATTGTTATACATTAATAATTAACCTTTACTAGGAACTCTAGTCACAGGCATTTAACCCAAATGCAGAAAAAGCCAAAGTTTGTTTATGACAAAGAGTTCTCACATGCTAAGGTATAATAGTGAAGGTTAGAAAGGAGAAGCTGACACTCATTAAACTTTTATGATTTCTTTTCTGGTTTACTCACTTGAGTGATTGCCTGAGGATCCTGCAATATTTCCCTTTGCACATGGTCAGCCCAGTTTAGCTAAAATGAAAAATTCAGCTTTTGAATTGTGAAGTTGAGCATGCATGACTTTCCATGTAATGTTAAAGATAAGCCTCACAGGTGCTGCTAGTGGGGCCTGGTTCTGAGCATATGGACCCTGGGGCCCAAATGCCTAGGTTCAAGTCCTGCTCTGCCACTTATCAGCTGTGTGCCTGTGGGCCGGTTCCCTAACTGCTCTCTGTGTCTGTTTCTGCATCTGTAAAATAAGGCAATGATTACAGGTATCTCAAATGGGTGTTGTCTGTATCTAATGGGATGGAGAGGTGTTAAATCCTTACCATGGTGCCTGGTGGTAGGTGCTTAATAAGTGTTAGTATCATTATTTTCAATGTTATTGACTATGGTTAGGTCCACGGTCAAGGTTACATAATAGTGAGTCATTTTCAATGCTTCGCCATAGTTATATATCACTCTTGTAATATCCATTAGAATGCAAACAGCTTTGCTTGATTCTCTCCTGGTGATGAGAGATGGGAACTAATTCTACATTTAAATATTGGGGATTATATGATATGTGCTGGAGTGACCCATCCAATTAACTTTGTCTCACAGATATGGACAGATGAGGCTTATTTTAGAAATTAGCCATTGTTGTTTTGGAGATGATAATGCAACCTTTTCAGGGCTGTGGAAATAGCGAAATGAGATTAACAATAACCCTCCAAATAGCTGCGACTTTTGTGCCCTTATGATATTGCATTCCTAAGTGCTTCACATGTTTTAAATCATTTTATTATTACAAAATAAATAGTTTGTTTATTCCTATGTTCCCAATTTCAGGAGAGGAAACAGACTCAGAAAATTTACTTTGCCAAAGTCACATAGCTTGTAAGTAGTAAATGTGGAATTCAAACCTAAATCTGGGTCCTGACTTAGAATTTGAATAAGGTAATATAAAGAAAATAGGAAAATAGTTGGGACGCTCAATACTCAGATCCTTGTCTATTTCCCTTCCATTGTTTTCTGCTTATTAAGTTTTTATGGATACGACATTGCTCAGAGATCAGAGCGCCAAAAACCATTCCAGGGTACTGTATCAAATTTCAGTTCAAATAAGAGTAAAACTTTTTTGAAATTCTAATTTCATGGAGAAAGATTAATTTCTGCTTTTAGATGGATTATACCTGGTTTAGAAAGTCATAACAGATTTTTTTCCCATAGGTTATTGGGGTTCAGGTGGTGTTTGGTTACATGAATAAGTTCTTAAGTGGTTATTTGTGCGATTTTGGTGCACTCATCACCCAAGCAGTATACACTGCACCCTATTTGTAGTCTTTTATTCCTCACCCTCATCACACCCTTCCCCTCAAGTCCCCAAAGTCCATGTATCATTCTTATGCCTTTGCGTCTTCATAGCTTAGCTCCCACATATCAGTGAGAACATACAATGTTCGGTTTTCCATTCCTGAGTTACTTCACTTAGAATAATAGTTTCCAGTCTTATCCAGGTCACTGCAAATGCCATTAATTCATTCCTTTTTATGGCTGAGTAGTATTCATATATATATATCACATTTTCTTGATCCACTTGTTGATTGATGAACGTTTGGGTTGGTTCCACAATTTTGCAATTGGAAATTGTGCTGCTATACACATGCCTGTGCAAGTATCTTTTTCTTATAATGACTTCTTTTCCTCTGGGTAGATACCCAGTAGTGGGATTGCTGGATCAAATGGTAGTTCTACTTTTAGTTCTTTAAGGGATCTCCACACTGTTTTCCATAGTGGCTGTTAGACAGTCATAACAGATTTTTTTAACTGCCATCCTCACGTTCTCCACCTACCTACCCACTCTGCAGGACAGTGGCCATGGCTTTGCAGAAGTGTACACTAACCTTGGGTAGGGCATGGAGGCAGAAAGCTCTGCTGGACCCCCTTGCAAGGTGAATTAGTATCTGGTTCAGTATTCTTTGTAAAATCAGACTCTCAACTAAATCAATGTCCTTGACTGACTGGCTGAAATAGGGCTTCAGGGTGTCTCATTCTACCACTGTACAGAGGGCACATGCAATGTGCAAAAAATAAAAACAAAAACAGACCTCTGTCCCCACCAGCTTTTAACACTTACTCTTTTCTTTCAAGTAATATATCCACATGGTTGAAAAAAAGTCTAACACTGTAAGAGGGCACAGTGAAAAGTAAGTCACCCTCCCACTCCAGAATATTAATCCCGCAAATATACTCCCCAATGACAATTTTATAGTTCCAAAGAGACTTTATGCTTACTGGAGCATATATACATATAATGCCCCCACGCCCCCACACTTTTACACAATGATAACATAATGCACCCTCTATCCTGTTCCTTGACAATTTCACTTAACAATGTGACCTGGAGAGCTTCCACATCAAAACCAAAAGCAATACCTTGTTTGCAAGGCCTGCCTAATATTCCATTATAACGCTGTGCCATCTGCTATTGATGGTCATTTAGGTTGTTTCTGGTATTTTACTAAGGGTGCTTCAGTAAATCACTTTGTATGAAGTATGTGAATCCATGCAACTCGATCTCTCTTGATTTTTATTTGCAAGCTTATGTTGTATAACTTTCTGACAACACAAGAAATTGGCCAGGAGACAAAAGAAATTCTGTAGAAATATAGAGGCTTTTTTGGAGCTTGTGTGCACATCAGATGTTTCTTCAGATACCTTTTTGGTTCCTGTGTCTCATTGTTTCTCATGTTGTTTTGGGCTATGTCCTGAAGCCTCTTTTTGGGTCATTTTTCCAGGTGCCCAGTGAGTGATGGATGGATACTGTTTGCAAGATTGATTCACATGGCACTTTTGTTTGGCTTTTGACAGGTTGTTTATAAGAATAATGACATCCGTCTGGAGCTGTCTCGCCTGGCCCGGATTGCGGACACCAAGATGAAAATCTATGGCGAAGTTGTGTTTAAGTGTGAGAATGTGGCCACACTGGACCCCATCAACTTTGAGACCCCAGAGGCTTACATCAGCTTGCCCAAGTGGAACACTAAACGTATGGGCTCCATCTCCTTTGACTTCCGCACCACAGAGCCCAATGGCCTGATCCTCTTCACTCATGGAAAGCCCCAAGAGAGGAAGGATGCTCGGAGCCAGAAGAATACAAAAGTAGACTTCTTTGCCGTGGAACTCCTCGATGGCAACCTGTACTTGCTGCTTGACATGGGCTCTGGCACCATCAAAGTGAAAGCCACTCAGAAGAAAGCCAATGATGGGGAATGGTACCATGTGGACATTCAGCGAGATGGCAGATCAGGTAGGAAGAGGCAGGATGTGTGACTGAGACTAGACGAAAGCTGTAGCTTCTCAGTTTGTTTTTTGGCTTTATGTTTCTTAATTTTCACCCTTGCATGCTTGTTGATTCTTTTGCTACTCTCTTTAATGGCTGTTGTAAAATTATGTTTCTGAAAAGATACCTGTCTCATAGATGGCTCACATTCTCCGCTTATCTCTCTTGTCACTCACTGCGCAATTGTCTCAGTGATAGCTCTACGATCCTGGAGCTAAGGATGGTTTTACAAGTAGCATTTCCACTGCTACCAGAGCAACTCTCATGTCACTGGTGTGATCCGCCCCCATTGCCCCATTCTTTGCTTCTCTTTTTCCTCATCACCATGGAAACCGATTGTGACATCACAGATGCTGCATTATGTGATTATTTTGTAGGATAAACTTCACTGTGCAAGAATTTATGCAACAATACACCCTTCAGTAATTGGCAAGAGTCATGTTGCATGGAGAAATTATGACAAGAAAGGAAAAGGCAAATTGATTTTTCCTGAAGATACATTCAATTTAAAGCCTTCCTTTGGTGTAAAAGCCTATATTTCACTCTTTGTTCAGACCTCACTAACTCTCTCTTCCTCTTCATAACCTTTTACATTTTGTTTAAATGGCTTTGTTTCTGCAGCTGCAGATCAAACAAGCTAGCCCCAGGCAGTACATAGCTACTATGGAATAGTAACAAAGTGGGGGTGGGGGTGGGGCAAAATAGTCAGGGGTTTTTGAATGCCTGGACAGTCTGCCTAGCTTTCTATGGACCATGTGGCAATGAAGGTCACATTCTGTGCTATCAGAAAGGGCATTTTCCCAAGAGCAGTAATTAGAGCATTTGCCATTTCAGACTCATTTCCTGATTCTCCATTTAGGTAGGATGTACTCAAGAAGGGTCTTGGCTTCATGTGCCATATTTATAGAGATTCACTTTCCTGATGAACATTAAAAAGTCTCTATTTGGATATTTTCTTTCTAGGTACATTTGGCCAGTAAGAGAGAGCAATAAGTTCCCCAAAAGGCTGAAACTGGGAGTGACTGAGCTTTGGTGGGTTGGCTTTTCTGCATAATTCCAAAGCTAGGCTGACGGCAGAGATAGCAATATTGCCCTTAGGAAGAGCTGGATGGGTTCTTTGCAGAGGGCAGATGGGTGGCAGATTGCAGCCCTGGCTATTTTATTGCCCAGTAGGAATCTTTACTGGTTGTCTGAAATCTGATCAGAACCAAGAGCCTTCAAATTAAATGTGCTCGTTAAGCAAGAATGAATAGTGTCTACCCTTTTACACAGAAAAACACCCAAAAAATTAATTTCTTTGGAGGCTAAATCCCGCCACACCCCCCATACTTCTTCTTCTTCTTTTCTTTCTCCTTCTCTGCTTTTCAGTAAAATGACAGCAAGAGCAGAGTCAGAAAGCTGTTCCAGAATTATAAAGAAAACACTGCTGTTGGTTTTTAAGAGCATGTGTTTGGGATCTCTGAGGTTAGGTCACGGTGGACGGGTTTTGTGTCTGACTAACCTAGACCTTGGCACAGCATAAAAGTTACCTTACCCGTGTCTCAGGCAGGCTAAAACACACAAAATTGCCATTTGTTCATTTCTGTCTGTTCCTAATACAAATTTTTCTTTCAAACAATTTTGAACAAAGGGGAACAGTTTTTGTTGTTTAAACCACCAGTGGACCCAACTTCAACAAATATGTTTGAATTTCAGAAGTCTTAAATTTCATACCTGGGAGCTAAAGCACTGGCTAATTCTTTTCTCTTTTTTTTTTTTTTTTTTTTTTTTGAGACAGAGTTTCTCTCTTGCTGCCCAGGCTGGAGTGCAATGGCGCAGTCTCGGCTCACTGCAAACTCTACCTTCCAGGTTCAAGTGATTCTCCTGCCTTACCTCCCAAGTAGCTGGGATTACAGGCACCCTCCACCAAGCCCAGCTAATTTTTGTCTATTTAGTAGAGACAGGGTTTCACCATGTTGGCCAGGCCAATCTCGAACTCCTGACCTCAGATGATCAACCCATCTCGGCCTCCCAAAGTGCTGGGATTACAGGAGTAAGCCACTGTGCCAGGCCTGGCCAGTTTTTTGAACTACTGATGAATTTGATCAAAGCCTATTAAAAACTTACTGAGTAAACAAACAATTGTCCCATGAAAGCAGTATAATCTAAAATTTTAATACAGTCTGTTAAACTTTCATTTTTTCATGAGAATGTTTTCTGGTAACTTGTTTTAGATTATAAATCTATACTAAAGGATAGTTATAAAAACAAGTGTATCTAAATGTGGTGCCTCCTTCCCTGATAATCTTGAAGAATAATATAACAAACAGTGATCTAGAAAAACTTTTATGATCACTCCTCACTTGGGCAAGTCAGTCTTAGAACTTGTTAAGTGCATTCAAAACTGTTATGGTCACACATTCAGAGAACAGATTTTCCTCAGGTTGTATTTAAGGCTCTAAAATTTAAATTGATTCTAGTATTGTCTTTACTTGGCAATAGATGTCTCCCCATTTTAGTTGGTGATCAGATTAGCCCTGTGGACCTGTGAGGGGTAAAGAAAGAAAACTATGCAACAGAGAAAATAGTAAGAGATAGAGACCTCAACTTCCTCCTTTGTAAGATAGAGAAAATAATAACTCCTACCTCCCAATATTGTTTTGAGGATCAAGTCCAAAAATGCACATAAAATAGTTAAAATGGTAGCCAGGACATTATTGTTGTTATATAAGTGTTTGAAAGATTGAAAAACAAAAGGCAAAGCATATTTCTCTAGGAGTAAACTTCTAGGAGGGAGTAGTGAAGCAGATTGTTAAATTCCCCTTAATATCCTTTCTATGCTTCTACTCTTGTGTTGACTTTGCACTTTATTTATTGTTTTTAACTTTAGTTAATTAATTAATTAAATTTCTTGAGAGCTAGTCTCACTCTGCCACCCAGCTTGGAGTGCAGTGGCACGATCTCAGCTCTCTGCAATCCCCACCTCCCGGGTCCAAGGAATTCTCCTGCCTCAACCTCTCGAGTAGCTGGGATTACAGGTGCCTGCCACCACACCTGGCTAATTTTTGTATTTTTAGTAAAGATGGGGTTTCACCATGTTGGCCAGGTTGGTCTTGAACTCCTGACCTCAAGTGATCTGCCCGCCTCAGCCTCCCAAAGTGCTGGGATTACAGGCGTGAGCCACCACACCCAGCCGACTTTGTACTTTAAAGTGTATGTTTCATTCTTGATCACGTCTGATCTTCGCAGCCCTTCAGGTTATATACCCTTCATAACTGAAGAAACTGAGAATCAGACAGAGGTGAAGGCTGACTGATGGATGGCATGACCCATTTATCTTGATACCAATAAAGCACATCAAGAATAATAAATACCTATTTTAAAATTTCTGACAGGAAGTTTAGATATCACCTAGTCCATTTCCTTAATTTTCCAGTTCGGGAAATTGAGCCATAAAGTGGTTCAGGGATTGGCCTAGGGTCATAAAGACATTTAGGACTAGAATCCCTGCTCTCAAGGTCCCAGGTTAGCTTGTGGGGTTTCATCTTCTACAATCTCATTTGATGCTGTCCAAACTCCAACCCCTTCCTGGGTCTGCTTAGCTCTCTGACTTGATCTCCTGCTCACCCCCTCTTGCCTTCTCTATTCTAGCCACACATCTGCCTACCTCAGGGCCTTTGTAGGTGCCATCCCCTCTGCCTGGCATGCTCTCTCTCCTGGACTTTGCATGGCTGAATCCTTCTCAACATTCTGGTTTCAGCTTCACTTTTACCTGCCTAGAGAGACCTTCAGTGACTCTACATTTTAAAGTAGAATGCATGAGTAACTAGCACACCACCCATTTTACTCTCTTCATAGCAACTGCCCTTAGCTAATTTATTTCATTTATTGGGTTACTTATTGTATTAGTCTGTTCTCATGCTGCTAATAAAGACAAACCCAAGACTGGATAATTTATAAAGGAAAGATGTTTAATTGACTCACTATTCAGCATGGCTGGGGAGGCCTCAGGACACTTACAATCATGGTGGAAGGAGAAGCAAACACGTCCTTCTTCATATGGCAGCAGGAGAGAGAGAAGTGCAGTGCCAGCCAGAGAAATGCCAGATACTTATAAAACCATCAGATCTTGTGAGAACTCACTCACTATCATGAGAACAACATGGAGGTAATGTCCCCATAATTCAATTCACTTCCCACCAGGTCTGTCCCACAACATGCAGGGATTATGGGAATGGCAATTCAAGATAAGATTTGGGTGGGAACACAGCCAAACCATATCATTTATTTTTTGTCCCTCTGTTCTGGAACATCTGCTCAATGAGAGGAGAGACATGCCTATCAAGTTCATCTCAGTGCCTAGAACTATACCAGAGACAGAATAGGTCTTCCATACACATTTATTAAATGATTAAATAAGGAATAATGTTTCAGTTAAAATGTGTCACAGGGAATGCTCAAAATATTCACTGGCAGGGCTGGTAGTGAATGCCCAATCTAGAGAGTACCAGTGCATGGAGAGAGAGACAGAAGAGGAAGTTCCATCTTTTGGGGGTTGGTGAGCCCTTGAAGAAAACTCAGGCAAACATATGGAGGCCTCATTCTGTCTCAGTCACTCTTAAAAGCACTTTGCATATATTCACTCATTTAATCACACCAACCTATGAGGTGGGGACAGTTATTTTCCCATTTTACAAATGAGGAAACTGAGGCACAGGAAGGTGAAGTCACTTCTTCACGGTTATACAGCTCATACATATTAGAGCTGGAATTTAAATACAGGCAGGAACTGTGCTGCTCTCAACCTGTATGGTCTCAGCCAAGAGGGTTAAGTAGAGAAAAGATACACTAGATGTTAGGTCACTGAGATTTTTCTGGGTCTTCCTAAGGGCCAGCTTGACTTAGCTGGCAGAGATTGGAACCAAACGGCCTACATTGTCTTTTCCATTGTCTTGTAACATCTAATTCTCTTGCTTACATTGTTCTCTCCTGGCCAGCCAATGGCTGGGCTCAGCACTCACCTGTTAGGTTTCTTACATTTGGTTAAGCAACTGGCAGACTCACCTGAGATCTGTCTTCCCACCCCAGGTACTATATCAGTGAACAGCAGGCGCACGCCATTCACCGCCAGTGGGGAGAGCGAGATCCTGGACCTGGAAGGAGACATGTACCTGGGAGGGCTGCCGGAGAACCGTGCTGGCCTTATTCTCCCCACCGAGCTGTGGACTGCCATGCTCAACTATGGCTACGTGGGCTGCATCCGCGACCTATTCATTGATGGGCGCAGCAAGAACATTCGACAGCTGGCAGAGATGCAGAATGCTGCGGGTGTCAAGTCCTCCTGTTCACGGATGAGTGCCAAGCAGTGTGACAGCTACCCCTGCAAGAATAATGCTGTGTGCAAGGACGGCTGGAACCGCTTCATCTGCGACTGCACCGGCACCGGATACTGGGGAAGAACCTGCGAAAGGGGTGAGTCGGCCTAGAGGATGGCAAGTGAGGGCCTGAGTGGGGCTGATGTGTTACAGTTGGATCCCTGGGCAGCCCAAGCCTTCGCACCTACCTGCACTTTCTTTCTTCCAAGAGTTTTTGGGTTTACTGATTTCCAGATTGCACCCTTTCTAGTTCTGAATGCTTGGGTTTGTTTGGCTAAGACTGAGTTGCAGAAAGGGAAGCTTTATAATAAATATTACTGTGATTATGATACTTTTTGATTAAATATTTTCTATTTAGAGAGGGTAAATAATTCTCTTTTGGGACTCCAGGGGGCCTAGCCAACTGGCTGTTTTATTCATTCATTTGACTTGTGATTCTTTAGTGCTTTCTACAAGCTAACTCCTGGGTTAGGCTTTAGAAATACAATGTTGAACAAGACAGGTACATCGCTGTTTTTATGGAGCTTGCTGCCTAGTGGAATATTTAGCCATTAAATAACTGATTACAAACATGGTGAGTTTTATAAGAGGCAGAGTGATGTATTAGTTAAGAACATAAACTCTGGGGCCAGACTGGGTGAGAAATCTGGCCCTCATGCAGTGATGGGAATTTCATCATGGTAGTCAATATCTTTGAAACTTGACTTCCTCATTTGTAAAATAGAAATCAGGTACCTACCTCACAAGATACTGATGATGATTAAATGAGTTAATAGGTTCTCGAGCATTTAATGTTAGTGATTATTATAGTCATAATTATTCTCATCAACATCATTAAAGAGAAGGTATAGAGAAGCTTGGGAGGCCCTTGGAAGGAGACCTAACATACCATACAGGTTCACTGTATAGTGAGCAACCCTGACAGTTGAGGACCTGAACAAAGTCCAGAATGGACTGGATGCTTTGTTCCCTTCTGAAAAATGTCCAGAATAGAATTGGGGAACTGTTGGGGTGGGGAGGAGGGGCATGAGAGGGGACCAAAGAGATGAGGGCTGACCCTGTAGACTGGGCCAGAATGCTGGGAGGATTCCCTTTTCGTTCACCACTTCAGTATCTGACATTTGCACCCGATTTACAGTTTAAGTAAAGGGCATAGATAAAGGCAAGAAGAGGGACAACATCAACACAAGGAGATTCCAGTCAAGCTATTTGCAGATTGCAGCTTGGTCTATTTTTTTATATGCCAAGCACACAGAATCAAGCTGAATATCCGCAGGCTGTCAACTTCTATATTCAATGAAAGGATAATTTGCATCAGGATCAAGTTTTTGCTAAGGGTATAGCTCTAGGGCTTTGAGAATGCTGTACCTGTATAGTTCTTGCCCTCAAGAAGATTATCATTTATTTAGCTGAGGAGTTGAGACATCTATATAATAAGCTGTAATAAGATGATGTAAGACAGTAGCATGTTAGTGGACAGAAAAGAAGGACATGGAGATTCAGAGACAGAAGAACGTTTTGAGGAGAGACCTGCAGGGTCTCATCTCTACAGACCAGTGGCCAGTGGCCTATCAGAAGATAGGTGATGTGGATGGATCCTGGGCCAGGTCTAGAACAAGGGCTGAATGACCAGTTTTCAAGGCCTGTTTTTTTGTAAGGCCAACTGTGGGGCCAACTGTGTTACTAGCTAAGGTATATTTCAAGAGAACTACAAACCCTTTTTACAGTCAGATCAGAAATAGAATACAGGACATGAGGACAAAGGAAGAAAAGAGAGCTTTCTTGGAGCATATGGAATTAAAATTAAAATTCACTGAATTTTCAAGTCAGCAACCACCAGAACAGGAGCTATGATAAGGAAATACTCATCTGGGACAGGAATAGGCCACAAGGGGCTGGTCAGTCTGTCAGGTGCCTGGGCTCTTTCCAAGTATGTTTGTAGGGTAACCTACCCTGGTGCTGGTTGGGGAAGATAGAAAGGTCATTTTTGTCTCTGAGATGCGTGAGACAGTTTTGGTGTTTGCCAAAGTGTTGCAGATCTTCTGTTGTCTATGAAGACAGTATAAAGGTCATCTCAGACATCTCACTTCTTCTTGGGTCTCCTCTTAACTCAAGCAAGGGCCTTGTGATTGTCAGAGGCAGGACACAGTGACTGTAGCCAGCTGTACAAGGTGTCTCTGAGCTCACCCATTTCAAGGGTGAATCAACGGGAGTTGGTCCAAAACTTGCCAAGAACAGTGAAAGTCACTGCACCTTTTACATTGTCACTTCTGACTAGTCATTAAAAGGCAGCTGATTGGGGATATATGAGGGACAATTATTCTTGGTGCAGTGCAGCCAAGAGTCATCCATTCTGGCCAAATGAGAAGAAGCTTAGCAAATTTAAGATATTTGATCTATACATCGCTCAAATCCCAGACGGTTCAACTGATTGTTTTGTTCCCCTACTAATTGTTTTTTGCCCCTGGATTGTTCCTGACACCATGTTCAGAATGAATCAGTGGAGTGTAAAAATTATAGGACTCTTCTCTGCTAGCAAAGAAAAGTTGAGATTCCCAATGACATTGTTTTTCTTTATGGAAACTGATTCCTTAGTGGAGACTCTTTTGAGTATCTTTTGTTCATTTTTCCTGCAGGAAGTTGACATATATTGAAGCCCTAGTGTGTTCCAGGCACTATGTTTGAGGTTGGAAATGCAACAAACAAAAAATCCAAAACAGAAACACCAACTTGACACGGCCTTTACTTGTGAACAAGGGGTGTATAGTCCTCCCAGGAAGCAAAGGAAAATGTGAGAAATGTTTAACATGTGGTTAATGTTATGGCAGATGTCTATAGGGAAACAGTAGGACAAACAGGCAAGAATGGCCACTTCTATATGGAAGGAGTGATGGCCCAGAGAAGGGGATCCAAGCTTTCTTGGATTTTAGATTTCCTATTTCTAACTTTAGGCATCCACTCTAGGCACTTCTGAAGAAGAATGAAGAAAATGTATTGGGTATTCTCTCTATACAGGAATGGAATACTTTTCGGATTAAGGAGCCCTGCCCCATTCACCATAACAACATCAACACAATCACTCAGTTTGCCATTCTCTCTCTAATTTTTATTATGTAGAAGCATTCTAGAATCAAGTCTAAGTCTAGAATGGATCATTTGTACTAAATGTGTTAAGCCTAAGACAATTCTTAAGGCTGTGTGTCCCAGTAGCTCAAACTGTGTTCTCTACTGGAACTTCCTTGGGGGTGAGTCCATTGGTATAACTGGGCCCACACATGAATGGGAGTGTTAGAAAGAAGCACTTGTGTATATACACTGAAGAAAGCATAGATGGAATGCTGAAAACTGGAGTTTTCATGGCCCAGGTCAGACACTAGACACTACATCAAAATAGACCAATGACCCAAGCAAAGTCAGCAACAGATAAATCTAAGAGACAATTCCTGGATCAAAGTCATCAGCCAAGTATAAGAGAGTCAGAGAATAAGGCCTGGGAAGTAGAAAGTGTGTATATGATACTAAGATTAATTTGCATGTGTATGTTTCTCTTACAGTAAAATTGGATAACTCCTGCTTCTACCCTCATAAGAGTGCTTCTTCTGCCTGTGAAGATGAGCTACTCTAAATCTTGATGTCTAAAAATAGGCTTGATTGATATTGTATTTAGATTTTTTTCAGCATAATCTGTTGCTATTCTAAGATGTAGCTGTCTCTACCTATCCCAACTGTTTAGCTCTAATTATTTTTGTTGGCTATTCATAGTGATGTGAGAGACGTCTCCATGACCTAAACAGCAAAGGCCTGTTTTAACTACTTAATTCTAATCAGATAGGTTGAAATTCTTTAGTATCATAGAATACCACCTACCATCCAGTGAAGTCCTGTTGGACAGAGGAAACAGTCTAGCTGGTCTTTAGCCTGCTCTGGAGTTAGTCCTACTTAAGGAGCTATGATCACTTGACCTGGGACAACATCTTATCTTTGCTGGTATAGCCAAACTGTCTAGTTCAATTGGTGAGCATCAAGTTCCAGCAAGGCAAAGCCAAGGGTTTGATTTATTTGTACATCATGGAGCTTAAATTTTAGACCATTGCTGAATCTATGCTCTTCCCTGAATGGCTTTTTCTAAACATATCCTGGCATTCATTTGGCAAGAAAGTAAATAAAGCTCAGCACAAGTTCATCCCAATGTCAAGAAAAATAACCTACAGTACAACATTTATCTGACATATGCACCAGCTGAACACGAAGAATACAAGTATTTTTACTTCTCTCCAGTGACTCTTGTTCCAGTGGGAAAGGCATGCAGGCAGCAGCTGCTGCTCCTCTCCATTCGGGGCCTCCCTTTTTAGGCAACCTCCTATGTGATCCTGGGTAGCAGCAGCAGCAGCAAAAGCAAATGATTCTGCCTGGAAAGGGTGAGATACCAATCTTCGATGAGGCTGGATTGTGTCATTGAAATGCTACATATATGCCACATGGAAATCATGTCATAAGAAAATAGTAGGGTTGGCAGAGGCCAGGAGTGGTGGCTCATGCCTGTAATCCCAGCACTTTGGGAGGCTGAGGTGGGTGGGTCACCTGAGGTCAGGAGTTCAAGACCAGCCTGTCCAACATGGCAAAACCCCGTCTCTACTAAAAATACAAAAATTAGCTGGGCTTGGTGGTGCATGCCTGCAATCCCAGCTACTCAGGAGGCTGAGGCATGAGAATCACTTGAATCTGGGAGGTGGAGGTTGCAGTGAGCCAAGATCATGCAGTTGCACTCCAGCCTGGGTGACAGAGTGACTCCGTCTCAAGAAAAAGAAAAGAAAATAGTGAAAATAGTAGGGTTGGCAGATACCGTTAGTGTTACCTGCACCTCATTCCTGTTTTGGTAAATGAGGAATTGGAAGCCCTGAGAAGTTAAGTCAACATCAGTTTAGCTTGGAATTGCTATAGAATGGTTAGAATTTATGATTCCTGATTCCTAATGCATCAGGCTTTCCATTACATTGAGCAGCCTTTCCTTCATATATACTGTTATATACATATACTAGATGGTTATTAAATGTGGGAGGGCTCCAGGGTTTCTGTTTTAGGTCTCTTCTTGGCCTGCACGGTTCCCTTGGTGCTCTTATTCTTTGCCACGATATTAAAGGTCATCTATATGTTAGTGACTTCCAAATTGAGGTCTCTTGCCTAGAACTCTCCCTGAAATCTCAGATTCTTATGTCCCTAGTTGTCTACTTGACATCTCCATTTGGATATCTGATAGATTAACTTAAGCTACTTAATTAATAGCTACTTAATACATAGCTACTTAATTCTAATCAGATAGGTTGAAATTCTTGAATATACTGGAAGAGCACCTGCCACCCTGTGAAGTCCTGTTGGACTTAATCGTATCATGGAACAGCTTAATCATATCATTGAAAAGCAGAAATCTTGAGGTCTTCCTTCCTGCCCCAGACTTCTTTTACTTTCAGTTTTTCCCCTTCTTGGTAAATGGCATCCCTACTGTCCTTGGGCATTTTCTTTTATTTTTGTCCTATGATATTCAATCTATCTCAGCAAGTCTCATCCATTTCTCTTATAAACCCATCCTGCATCTGTCCACTCTCTCTTCCATCTCTATCATTTTAGATCAAACCATACTTATCACTTCTTTGGACAACTATATAGCATGTAGTATATGATTATGAAAAATCCAAATTCATTTTGTGTCTTCTTTAGAATATTAAAGTTAAATTATTAAAATTTCTATATTCTCAACACAGTCTATCTTAAATAGCTTTAGTTTCAGTGGCTTTTGGTCCAGAAAACTGTAGGAAATGAAGCTATGATGCTTCTTTGGAATTAACTTCAGCATTAACATAGAGATTCCATAAACAGGTATTTAGCTCTTTTCTGTGTCAGGCTTTGTGAGCTGATGAGGATATACATTTATATTAAGAGAAGACACACTTTCTGTCCTCCACGAGCTCACAGCACAGCAGAGGGGATAGAGACATAATCTGCAAACTCTAATGCAATCTACCAGTGTCAATGATTCAGGAAATAATCACAGGAAAGAAAAAGATAACAATTAGAAAGCAAGATATGACGCACATTTTATACCATTTTATAATTAGTTCTGGATTCACTGAGGTCTTGCTCAGACTATCTCACTGGTGTGGGAATAAGAGAAACCTGGGCTTCCAAGGTCAAATATAATAATGGTGGTTGCTTTCACTGGTCTCAGTGCTATTGAGGAGGGGAATCTGCGTTATGGCTGTGCCCTCATCCCTCGTAGGTTTCCAGATCCTTTATTTAAATGTCTGACCTGGAGATGGATCCTCTGACCTTTCTTTTCTGCAAGAATAAAATGAGGCAGTTGGGTTTCACGCTCTCTCAGGCCCTTTTCAACTCTAAAACTCTGATTCTCAAATGTCATCAGCTTGGCAATGCTTTCTCTTATCCCAAGGAGAGAGAGAAAGGTGAATGAAGGGCAGCAATGTGAGTCCTTGTTCCTTACAATCCGCAGAACTGTCTGGATTAGGACTCGGTTTAGTTATATCAGCACTGCAATCAAATTTTCATCTCCCTGATTCATTCATCCAAGAAAATGAATACCTTGGTGTACTGAGTACACTTCAGGTCCATCAGACCTGAGTTTTAATTGATGGATTAACGAATCGAACCTTAGATTTCTAAAGAGCATTAAAAGGCTGTTTCCTCTTTGGTCCATTGTTTACTCTTTTTGATAGATAATGACATGTATCTGAGAAAGGGGCTTCCCAAGAAATGTGCAATTCATTTACATAAATCAAACTGTCTCCTTTTTTTTTTGTTTGTTTTTTTGCTTTTCTGTTGTTGCTTAAGTCATACAAATGTATCCCTGGTGACAGCCACCAGCAGAGCACAGATTCAGCCTCTTTTTTTTTTTAACTTCCGGTTCTGCAAGTTTCCCTTTCCACAAGCACAGGGTTTTATGATTGCAGAAAGCTTTTCCATAGTACATGAACCCTAGCTGAGAGTTATTCCACCAGGTGAGAGTCTGAGCTACCTCTGATCACAGCTGGTCCTGTTACTCTAAAAAAGAGTATCAGGATTGTAGATTCCGGTTATTCTAGAGTCTTGAAGGTTTCGAGGTCTAAGAAGGACAGGCTGGGGACTTTGGAGATCTTTTAAGAATCGACACCTGCATTCAACCTGAGAATGTGAGGGTCAGCACTTTGGTGCAGTGTGTGACAGCTGCTTATGAACCAACGGCACACCTGCTGCTGGCTGCAGTGCTGTCAAATGCAGGGACTCGGTGGCCATTTACATTGCCACTGTGTATCTTTATTACTGTGTGTGCTCAAAGCAGCTTAACTGCCAGCAGACATCTGCCCATAATAATGCAATAATTGAAATGCTGCTAAATTATGAGAAACAAGTGCTTTGAAACACAACACAAGGGGATTGTTGCAGGCTTTTCTAGCATCTCTGGCTTCATGTTTCTTTTCACAGAGAGATGAATCCTTCTTCACTACAGTTTGGATTAAGAAGAAAGGAAAGTTAAAAGACCTACTATTTATTGAAAAAAATGATGTGCCTTCTCTATGTTTGGTTCTTAATATATACTGAGTCATTTAACCCTCACATCCACTCTGCAGACTGCATATTATTATCCTCACTTTCTACGTGAAGAAATTAAGGGCCACCCAATTCATTCTGAATACCTACTGAGTGCTACGTGCCAGGGACTGTGTTGAGCACTTGGGACACAAAGGCATTGACTGTGGTTCTCATAAATGTGCTATTATATTCTGGTATCTGAGCAATTGGGACATGAGTGTGGGGAGAAATATCATGGAAGGCATCACAGACTGGTGCCACTAGAGCTGAGGCTTGGTGGAGAATCAAAGATCTCCCCGGCAGACCAGGCAGGGGAAAAAAAATTCCAGGCAGAAGGAACAGATGTATAAAGGTGACTTCAATAAACAGTAAGTTTTCCATGTGGGTGGCATGTAGGGCTTAAAGAGTGAGGAGGAGGGATTTGAGGGGAAGTTTTCGAAGATGCAGCTGTAGGGGTGACAGGGCCAGCCAGCCATGAAACACTTTGCTCTCCCAACAAGTTTAGGCATTATCTTATAGGAAGCATACCACGTTTAACAATGGGATAACCAGGTCAGATCACTGAGGCAGAAGATAAATTGAATACAGAAGACAGGAGACCAACAGGTCAGCATATAATAGTCCAGTTTGCATTGGTATTAATTCAGGAATGAGAGATAAGAGCCCTCCCTGAAGAAACAAGAGTGGAGGTCGAGTTTTCGAACATATCTGATAAATAAAAAAGGGGCAATGTCAATAGGACTTAGTTAGTAATCAATTACACACAGCTAAAGAATAGCTGAAATTGAATTAGAGCAAGGGTTTGGCCATGGAAGCCTTTTGCTTCTTCCTTTCTTCTGAGCCATCTTGAATCAGTGGGAGATTCTTAGGAGGAGTGGGGAGGACTGTGGTGACCATTAAGCAGATGTAGCTGAGAGTCAAACCTACACCTGCTTTGGTCCCACTCGGAACATATGTATTTACCTTCTCACCTTCTCTCTGTGCCTCCGTTTCAATATTTGCCATGACAATATTGGCAGTGGGTGTTTAACTGGCTTATTGTGAGGCTCCATTGTAGAATCAAAGTGTATAATGTGCTCACATAGATAACAAAGTTAATATTCCCCTTTCAGAATCTGGAGTTTAGCAATGCAAGAATTGAAAAAATGATCTGGCTGGTGTTTTTACTCCATTTTTTTTTTTCTTGTGTGGTGGAAATGACCCAGGTCTTATTTCTGTGTTTAAGGCATATGATACAGGTTAGAGTTTAAAATTGAGAAGGTTGGACCATAAGAGAACATACCAAAGCATGCCTTTCTTCATACTTTAAATGGTGTATTTGGAATTAAAATGTGACTCTTTTGTAATCCCGGGTTTTAAAGAATTGCATTAAAATGATCTGTTATGACTGTAGTGATCTCAACCAAGCTTTGGCATATGTTTGGTAGAAACAATGAGTTGTAGTTTGTCTCTCTTTGTCTTGTAAAACTGGCCATATTTGAAATTAAGCTAAAAGATTTTTTTTCCTTGGAGATAGAAAAATCATATTTTGAACTTCTCCCTATTCTGGTCTCTCATTTGGGATTTATAGTGATGACACCCGATACTGAGTATTACGTATGTGTCTGTGCCTAGAGCACATGTGTATAGTTTTCCTCTAGCTTCTGAGAAGTTTTCTGTTTTATCATGGGTTCTGTTTTAATCCCACCAAGGACTGTTAAGAGGAAAAAGCAGCAAACATGTAGTAATCAAGAATAGAAGTCCCAAACTTAAAACCTAAAACTTGACTGACCCAACAAAAACCAGGCAGAGTATAAAGAGTTGTGTAATTACTTATCTTGCCAGTAGAATAGATGCTCAGATACTATCTAGCAAAACCACCCACCCCCAATTTTAGATGAAGAAACTGAGGCCTCCAGGTGGGAAATGAGTGGTCAATAGAATAGAATAGAATGTTCTTAGTCCCTCGTTTTGGTTCCTATTTATTGGCTTTTTCAAAGAAATATACATGCATCTGTGCATCTGTGCATATTTGTGAAGATATACTTTTATGTCTCATGATCTTCTAGGCAGTAGTCATGCCGTTATAGCAAAGCCATTTGGTAAATCTCCAGTAATTTGTTCTAACTGATAAATTTTATTTGAAATGTTGGCAACTGATTTAGAGGGAGGAAATGTGGAGGGAAGAGATGTATATATTTCTCTTCTCTTTCTGTTTCATCACTTATCCCATCTTACCCCAACAAATAACCCAGCCCAACAGAGAGGATACTGGGGTGACAAGTACATCTGGAACTTGAGGCTGGACCCTTCAATATGAGTGGCTCTTGAAAGACCCCCTTCTGTGGGCTACTGGACAGCTATTTTTCTGCCAGGTAGATGCAGTCTTTCTTGGAGAAGATCATTTCATGCTTCTTAGCATGTTTAACCTTTATAGCAAGACACTCTTATCAAAATGACAAACCCCAACAGAGCCTTCTAAGAGGCCAGTAAATCAGAAGCCTCATGAAATCTGTGCGATTAGCATGTTCCCCCTCTTTGTTTCTGCAGGGTAAGAAAGCCCTGTGCATTTCAGATTTCAATCTTCTCTGCAGGCCCCTTGTTTGAAACCTCCTGCTGTGGCTCACTGGTATTTAAATACTGTTTTCATTCAGTCACCTGGGGCCACATACTGACATCAGCTAAGGCTGGCACATTGTTTATCTCCATCAGCAATGTTGTAAAGAAAAGATAACTGCTCTGATGTTTGTTTAGTTGAATTCTCCCCATCCTGGAAAGCATCCTTTCTGGGTCTGAAGATAGCAGCTGATTCCTAATGTCATCATTCCTGTAGTAGCTCACTGTTGCTCAGCAGGATCTCATCTCCAGCCAGTTAGTTGTCTCTGATCTCTTTGTCCCATGGCTCAGTCTGTAATGAAACTTTCACAAGCAACCTAGCATCTTCAGCCACTATAAGGTGGAGCCTCCTTCTGTGGAAATCCACAAAGTCAAGGCTATATTGAGAGTAGAGGTAGAAGGAGAAAAAAATGATGAATAACAGTTCTGTTGTCTGTATAGATGATAAAATATTTATTAGGGATTGTGGGGGGTGACTCTTTTATCGGAGTTTACACATCCATATTTTCAAGTTGGAAAGGACCTCTGAGGTTTTTGAGTCTAACTCAATATCTGATGCATATATACCCCTGGACAAAATTCCTAAATTGCTGTGTAGAGTCTATAGGAATATGTACTCTTATCTACATATGATGTACTAAATGCTTAGCAGTGGTTAGCTTATTTAATCTTTGCAATAACTACATAAGATATGTGCTATTTTCATTCTTAATTTATATCTGAGGAATTGGGGTTAAGGATAGGTTAAGTAACTTGCTCAAGGTCACCCAAGAATACGTTGAGGTGATCTCTGGGTCTTCCACTCCTGAGTCCTCTCTTCTGTGATCGATATACTTTACTACTCTCAGTAACAAGGATTCTCACCTCTTCATGAAGCAGCCATTCCATTTTTGGATATTACTAAGTAGTCTAAAAATCTTCCTTTCACTACAACTGAAGTCCCTTTTTTGAAACACTCTTTTTATTTTATTTTGTTCCTTTTTTTATTATACTTTAAGTTCTGGGATACATGTGCAGAACGTGCAGTTTTTTTACATAGGTATACATGTGCCATGGTGGTTTGCTGCACCCATCAACCCATCACTTACATTAGGTATTTCTCCTAATGCTGTCCCTTCCCTAGACCCCCACCCCCTAACAGGCCCAGTGTGTGATGTTCCCCTCCCTGTGTCCATGTGTTCTCATTTTTCAACTCCCACTTATGAGTGAGAACATGTGGTATTTGGTTTTCTGTTCTTGTAAACACTCTTTTTTAATTGTGATAAAATACACATAACATAACATTTACCATTTTAGCTTTTTTTTTTTTTTTTTTTTGAGAGAAGGCCTGGCTCTTTTGCCCAAGCTGAAGTGCAGTGATGCAATCTCAGCTCACTGCAACTCCTGCTCCCTGGGCTCAAGCCATCCTGCCAACCTCAGCCTCTTAAGTAGCTGGGACCACAGGCATGTACCATCACACCCGGCTAATTTTTGTATTTTTTGTAGACATGGATTTTCACCATGTTGTCCAGGCTGGTCTCGAACTTGTGAGCTCAAACAGTCTGCCCACCTCGGCCTCCCAACGTGCTGGGATTACAGGCGTGAGTCATCACACCTGGCCTCATTTTAGCCATTTTTATGTGTATAATACGGTGGCATAAAGCACATTCACATTGCTGTGCAACCATAGCCATCATCCATCTTCAGAATCTTTCTTTTGGCCTTGGTTCAGGCTTTGGGAGCTATACAGGATTTATTCACTAAAAAAAAAAAAAAAAAAACCTTCACTAGGTGCTTATCATGCCATGGATCCTAGAGATGTCCAGAACAGGTCAAGCTAAAACCCTTCTCTACAATAGACCTTCAGTTATTCAAAGACAACTATCAGGTTTTCCACTGAAATGTTGTCAGTCATTCTCAGGATAAACATCACTAGTTTCATTAACCAGTTCTCACCTATTGTGGTTTTAAGTTCCTTGCTGAGTTAATCCAGCAGTCATTGAGAGAAGTGGGGGAAGGTGGGAGAGGGTTCTGTGTTCTGAAAGGAATGATGGCTTCCAGTACTTCACAGGGGTCTTTGTGAAGCAGGCCATGCCCTTCCAAGGAGAAAGCATGTATTGTTAATGCAGTAACTCACATGAATATCAGAGATAGTGACACATATGGACTATGGGTTTGTGTAGTTGGCAGGATTCACTGGTACATTTATGGTGGTGGTGGGGTGAGTGCTTTTGTTAGTTTCTTATCCTGTAAAAATGCTTTGGGCCAGGCACGGTGGCTCACGCCTGTAATTCCAGCACTGTGGGAGGCCAGGGCAGGTGGATCACCTGAGGTCGGGAGTTCAAGACCAGCCTGACCAACATGGGGAAACCCCATCTCTCCTGAAAATTAGCCAGGCATGGTGGTGCTTGCCTGTAATCCCAGCTACTTGGGAGGCTGAGATAGGAGAATCACCTAAACCCAGGAGGCAGAGGTTGTGGTGAGCCAAGATCGCGCCATTGTACTGCAGCCTGGGCAACAAGAGCGAAAACTCCGTCTCAAAAAAAAATGCTGTGGGCCCACTTCAGGTAACATCACATTTACCACCTCGTCTTATTCCTCAAAATAGTCCTAGATTGAGTGTGTTAAGTCACATATCTCAAAAGCAAAGCTAAATTTATTTTTGACCATAGGAACATCTTAGGGTACCACTAGACAAGGAAATCATGATTTTGACGAGTGTCAGCTGACACAAAATCATTGAATGCTACAGCTGGGCAGGGCCTTAAAAAATCAACTATTCCAGTGCTTATAATTTGCAAAGAAATAACTGAGATTCAAAGTGATTATATAACTTGCCCAAAGTTACAGAGGTAGTAAGTAGCCACGCTGGGACTTATCACTCAGTATTTTGAATCCTTGATGAGATCTGTCTATTCTAAAGCAATTTCAGAGGTGCTCTTGCTTTGTACCTTTGGGCTGGTCCTTTGTAGCTGAGAGTAAGATGCTCCTGCTGTGTGGGTCAGAAGATTTCTTCACAAGCTCAGTGGGTCCTTGTGATTTTTTTTAACATGTAATCGTCCCTTTATTTATTGCAAATAAGCTTGGCAATTTATTTAGTTAGCAACTTATGGTCTGGAAAATCTCATTATCCAAACCTTACATTATCAACACATCTGTTTAAAAAGAGATGCTTAAAGAAGTGGTCTAAATATGCAGATTCCTGATCATCTTGAAGAAGGGAACTACTAAAAGGGCAACCTGGGAGGGAGTAGACAATTGTAGTGAGGCCATGAAAGCCACTGACATTCACACATAAGGGAGTATAAAAAGGGAATTCACATTTATTGAGTACCTGCATGTGCCAGGTATAATTTGGTCCTTAAATAAGATGAACCAGGTTTGGAGTCAGACAAAACTGGATTTGTGGGGGCGGTGGGGAGGTGCACAGTGGCTCATGCCTGTAATCCCAGTGCTTTGGGAGATAGAGGTGGGCGGATCACGAGGTCATGAGTTCGAGACCAGCCTGGCCAACATAGTGAAAACCCCGTCTCTACTAAAAATACCAAAAAAATTAGCCAGGCATGGTGGCAGGTGCCTGTAATCCCACTTCTCAGGAGGCTGAGGCAGGAGAATCGCATGAACCCAGGAGGCGGAGGTTGCAGTGAGCTGAGACTGCACCACTGCACTCCAGCCTGGGCAACAGAGGGAGACTCCATCTCAAAAACAAACAAACAAACAACAACAAAAAGCTGGATTTGAATCCCAGTTCCATTGCTCACTATTATGTGATCTTGGATGTGTTTTTAACCCCTTTTTAGCCTCAGTTTTCTGATCCATCAAAAAGCCATTCTGGGGTTGTTATGATGCTTCAATAACATAATTGTGTAAAAATCTTGGCAAAATGCCTATAATTTTGTAAGTGTTCAGTACATGGAGGAGTATTATTATTCTTCTCTCTTTTAATTTTTAGAGCAGATCTTATAAAGTTTGTGGTATCATTCAGATTTTTAGATACTTAAACCAAGGATCAGAAAACTAAAATAAATTTCCATAGTCGCAATGTTAGCAAATACTAAAGGTAGGAATTTTTCACCCAGTCTATCAGATTTTCTATTATTCTTTGCCATTCATTTAAACAGGAGGCCTTAGAGGTGGGATTAGGTACTGTGGGAGGGAGAGAGAGCTGTAAGAAATGAGATGGCTTTTTTTGTTCCTCTTCCAACCTTGTCAGTTCTCTGCTTTAGGACTTTCCAAGGGGCAAACATGAGAAATACATTGGGATGGAAGCTGTCCATTTGGAGTAAATTCAGGATTGAGAAAAGCAGTCAGGATCTTCCACATCTTTTCATTCACACTGTTTGTTCCTAGGTGGTGGAGAAGAACTGTAAAGTTTCATGGGGCTGGTCCAGAAGAGCATGAAATGAGTACAGCTCAAAACTTTTGGCTCATCATAATTTATCCAGGGCTGCAAAATACCCTAACTCATACCTGCATATTTACCCACATGTACAAACACACACACATGCACATGCACACACATGCACATGAATGCACAGACACAAATTCTTCGGCCATAAACCTGGACCTCTCTAATTTTTGCTTTGCTCATCTCTCCTTCTCTAGACGGGGAGCCATCGGCTATGTATCCCCAGTGCCAAGGAAAAGGAGCTCAATCTGTGTTTGTGGAGGAACAAATGAAAGAATGAATGCAAAGCAAAATGAATGGGATTATTTCTAAAGTTAACTATAGTTAGAATTCTGGTTTATTATCTGACAAATTTGAAGGAACTTAGTACCTGCTAGACATCTAAACTGCCCACCCTCACCCCCAATAACAAGTTAGGATTTTCGTAGTTGGAGATGTGCCTAGAGAAAAATAATGAGAAGCTCCCCTAGGCTGGGGCCTAGCCTCTTGGGCCTGTAGCAACTATTCCTGTAACTCAGTATTAGCTATAGAGCGGCAAGATTCAGTGTTGCTTAAAGTGGACAGGTGGGCAGGCATGGAATGAATGAATCTGGAATAGAGCGAGAAGCAGGCTTATGCATCTGAGGCAGGCATTTCTACCATCTAAAACAATGGGGTGACTTTGCAGCTCTCCTTGGTGAAAAGAGCACTTCGTGGATGATACCCTTTTGTTCCCCCTCACTCCCTTTTTATTCACCCCTCTCCTGTCCTGCTTACCTTTTCTTTTTCCTGTTTCCTCTTCTTTATCCCCCCTATTCTTCATTATTTTTTTCCCTGATAAACCCCACACAGTCCTTTCTTCATTTCTATTTATCGTTTAAGCTTGATGCAGCAATAATGTCTATTGTTTAAAGGGCTTTTCCCTCCCAGAGGGATGAGATTGACCCTTATTTATTCAGAATGACTTGACTCAGGGCTGTTATAAAATGTGGGCTGCACAAAACTGCAAGGTGGCTGGTGCCTACCAGCTACCTAGATAAGTGGTATCTGGTTGAAGGGGAGGACAGGCCCCTAAGGCCTCTTTGAGCACATTGTCTAACCTGGAAGTCATCTCCTTTTGAACCACAATAAATGAGAAATGGTCTTAGCAAGACAAAACAATGACTATAAAACCAGGTGGCTAAAATATGGCTGAGGAATGCAGAAGAGTGCACTGGTATATCAATCTCTAATTGGGGAAATGATTTGGCTGCAGCACAAAGGAGCCCCTCTCTGTCTAACATTGGGTTTGCCCCTTGAGCTTTCTGCAGGCGGAGATTGATGGTGGTGGCGTGATGGTCAAGGAATGTGTCCTCAGATGAGGCTGAGCAGAATTATTTCTTTGTAAATTTTCTTTTTCCCCTTTCTTCCTCCCTCCCTTCAGATATCTCACTTTCTCACCTTTCTTTCACCTTCCTTCTTTTCTTGCCTGTGATCCTTTCAAACCACTTTAGTTTTTTTCTTATGTGGAGAACATGGTTGACCCATTCAATTTCTTTTCACTACAGAGTAGCGTTCCTGGGGGCTTTGATGGGACAATTGATATAATGAATCTTGACTTTGGTAGGACTGTTATTCTGTCTTCATAAAATGCTACTCAATAAACCAGTCTCTAGATTATAGCTCTGTTAGGAGTGTTTATCACTGTTGAAAAGAAGCCTTATAAAAATTGTCATCTGTGGGTTATTGCTAACATTATAGATTATGAATCTCCATTTAAAAAAATAAACACTGATTTTTATAATTCTAAAATTAATATATATTTACTGTAGAAAATTTGGCACATGGAAGTTTATTAATTCAACTTATTCTTTGGCCGACATTAACTGAGTACCTGAATACAAAACCTGTGGTGGTTCTACAAAACGCATTTCATGATAAACAAAAATAAATATAATTGAGCATAACTGTACCAAGCAGAAATGGTTATTATTAACATATCTGTATGCTTTATTCTATTATTTTGGGAATGTGTATATATATATGTGTGTGTGTGTGTGTGTGTCTCTGTGTGTGTGTGTGTGTATTCTATTCTTGAATATATACTATTTGTGAATACATATATTCTATTCTATATATATATTATTTGGGAGATATATGTGTATATATATAACATGTTAATGTAATTTTATAAGTAATTATTCTAATTTTTCCAGTTCCTGTTTTTTTTCAAAAATTATCTCGTAGTTGCATAATTATACCATAATTTCAATTCAGTGTTATATGATCTTTGTCTCAAATCATAAAATCTTGAAAAACGTGATTTTTAATGACTTCAAAGTAGCTATATTTGCCAGCTATTGCCTCAGTAATGCTGTGAACAAGCCACCCCACAACTTTGTGGATAGGTTGAGGTGGCTCTGTTCCAAGCTGTGGAGGGCTGGAAATAGCTGCAAGTTTCAAGTTAGATTCATTAACTCCCTCATTACTACATTCCTTTTGGCTCCCTCATTACCACATTCTTTTTGGACCAGAGGCTACCCAGGGGATATTCTCCTATTAGCAAATGAAAGGAGTACAAGAAGGAGCATGCAAGTACTCAGTACCTCCTTAGACCTAAGTCTGCCTCTCATACATTGTCACTACTGTCCACATCCTCTGCATCAAGGCAAGTCATGTGGCCAAGCCCAACATAGGGTGGTTTAACACTATACCCACTCTAGTGGAAGGGACTGCAAAGTCACAAGCAAAGGCTGTGGGTATATAATTCAGAAACAGGGGAGGTGCAACTAATTATGAACAATAAAACAGTCTACTATAGTAGACTACCTGATATTTTGTTATCACTAATGTCCATAGGTTGATCCAAGAAGACTAGTTTTTTATCCTTTCTGTTAACCTCTAATGTGCCCCAATATTGATAAATGCCATGAGACCTTTTTCCAAACACATAGGCTTCAGAAGACATCAGAGTCTTCTCCACTGCCCATTTTCTGTTTGGTGGTTCTAATGTATCTTCCCATTGATACTTCAACTCATCATATCTCTAGGAGTTTTATTTCTTGCTTCACAGAAGTCTCTTAGACCAGGTAAGAAACTAGCTCTGATTTTAATGCAGAGAATGCTTATGACCATTATTTTAGATGGGCTTAAAACAATGAAGCCTGAGACCTAAAAGGGCCAGTTCCAGAAAATCATTAGCTTCAAAATCTAGACATGAGAGAAAGGTTAGATGGTTTGAGGATGGTTCTACAAAATATAATGGAGGGAGGCCAGAAAAGGTTAGTGGGATAAGGTTCTCAGACACTTGGATTCTCTAGGAGCAGTAAGGAATGAATTTAGTTTTTTGCTTTTTGGAAAATTTAGAATTACTGAAATTTGCTCAAGTCTGGGATTCTTTTTCTACTTGAGGTTTTCTCAGGGCTTTGAAGAATATGCACTGCATAGGGTTTTGGTATTCAGGCTTCATTATTTTTGGTTCCATTCTTTGTAACACCTGGGGTCCTGGTTCTCTGCTGATGGGCCTCTTAATTTTGTTTATTTTGTGTCTGAACCTCAGATTTTAGTTTGTATTTATTTTTTGAAATAATAATCTGGTTACTGAATTAGACACCAAGCTCATGGAAAGCTTGGACCATGCCTGCTGCACTATTTTCTGCCTCATGCCTGGGATATAGAACGTGCTCAACACATTGTTGTTGACGGTGATAGGTTCAGGGCACAGGTATCCTGTATCCTCAGTCTTTGCATCCAAAACTTGACAAATCCTTTTCTCACCCATATATTCTCCCTCTCATGCAAACCTTCTTACTTTAGACTTATATTTTGTGTTTAACAGTCAAACATTTCCTCTAGGATGCCTAGTCTATGTAGCCATTTCAAAGATAATTTTCTAAGGAAGAAATGCGACCATCCAAGCAAAGTGTACTAATGTCAAGGAATCAGTGAGTGCTAGAAAAGCCAATTCAGAGTGGTCAGAGGTAACAAGGAGACTAACTAAATTGATTAGCTTTAATAACTTGTATTGTCTCCCAGAGAGAAAATATTCCTGGCCAGAATTTTGTCAGGAGCTTGTTGCTCTAAGTCAACTATATTGCATGAGGACTCAGAGAGTAAGTGTGCAGGAAAGGAGAAATTTATTTGGGAAGATTTTGTAGTGGAAGGGATACTATGTAAGGCTAATATTACAGAATGTTAGCAGAAAGCCATCTGTTACCACTGTGGTTTACTACCATTCAGAGAGTATTTATTGAGACCGTATTATATGACATGCACTATGATAAGAAGAAGGGGTACAAAGGCTAGCCTTCAAGGAGCTCAAGGTCACCCTAAGAATAACAGGTGGCTGCCTCCAGGAAGATGGATTGAACATGAAGTCTATTGAACAAAGACCCTGCTCTTACTGTTGCATGAATGACCTTGTTTAAGATGCAAGATTGACTGTAGATGGCAGAGGAGGGGGAAAGAGAATAGGCCTAAATCTCAGTCAGAATAGAACTTCAATTTCTCCACTCTCGAATGCAGTGAGCATAGTAAGACTTTTCTCTACTGAGGCAAAGAAACTTTGGCTACAGTTGAATCAGGGATTTAGTGTGAAAAACATGTAGGTTTAAAAGAGCCAAACACACGTATCTGCATCTGAAACACACACACACACACACACACACACACACACACACACACACACACACCCTTTTCATCTTACTAATTCCTATATTTCCCATTACTTGAGAGATAACATAATGAATTTTGGATGCAAGATGAAAAGAAAGTCATTTTATCCAAAGGGATGTTATTTCAAAGACATACATAGATGAGCACTCCTGCATATCATGCTATTCTTCACAATGTCATTTTAAATGATATTTACTCAAATATTAGTTAGTGATGACTAACTGCCAGATACCATGCTAGTCCTTGAGAGGTACAATGGTGGGCAAAATGTGATGCATCTTTGGCCTCATGGAGTTTATAGTCTAGTGACAGGAGAAAGACATTTACCAAGTAATCAACAACTAAACATGCAATTTCAAACTTTTGAACTTGAGAAGTATGGAGAGCCAGCCCTAGTTGAGGGGTGATCAGGGAAACAGCTCCAGAGGGAATGATGCTTGACTTGACATTTGAAGAATAAGAAGGTGTTACCAGACAAAGATGGATGCAGTCTTCTAGGCAGAAGGTTGTTACAAAGCCCAATAGGTAAAAAGAAGTATGGCAAGTTAGAGTTCAAGGAACAGAGGGTAAGTCAGGTTGGAGCACAGAAGGTGGAAGTGGGGAGGAGAGGGAAGAGGAGACAGGGCTTGGTCATGTCATCACCTACTGGTAGAGTATGATACTGATTTAGAATTTATCCTAAAAGTAATGGCAGACCCTTGAACAGCTATAAGCAGGAGAATAACATGACCAGATTTGCTTTTTTAAAGGTCATCTTGGCTGTAGGACAGTGAGTGGATTGGAGAAGCATAAGAATAGATGTTAAAATACTAGTTCTCCAGGAAAGAGTTGACAGTGGACTAAATTTGGACTAGGGCATTGACCAGGGATGTGAAGGGAAGTCGGTGAATTTGAGATATTTATAGAAGATCCTATATTTGTAGCACTTGAGATGTCAAAGAAAAACAAATCAGGACTTAGTAAGAAGAGATTTTTATTCAAAACAATTCTTGTAAGAGAAAGAAAAGGACAATTGCAAAACGGAGAATGCTATAACAATAAAGTTTGCAAACATCTCAATATCAAACAGAAACAAAAATGTTTTTCTTTCATAGGGTAAAGGAGGAGGCTAGCAGAGATAAGCAGAATCTTTGGGGTGGGAGGAAGCTGGACAAACAAGGGGAAATAACCCCTGGAGTCTGACAGGACAGAGGGTCTTGCTGTCACCAGCTGATTCCCAGGAGAAGCTGGTAAGCAGGTACATGTTCCCCTTTTATGTGTGTGCTCAGACTTTGGGACAAGCAGTGTTCAGGAACCTGTAGAAATGACTGAAGTTTGGTTAAGGCAAAACAGAAGGATGAGCAATTGTGAACACTAGGTTAGAGAATGTAATTCACCATGACCTAAAAGATGACTTCAAAGGGATCAAGCAGGAGAGGTAGAATCTTCTCAGTGGATCAGTCAATTCTTATCCTCTTCTCTCTAGGGGACAGTTGATATCTTTAATTCATATTAGGGGTTTGTTTTAGGGGTTTCAAAGTCTTCTCACATCCTTGAGTTCATTTACCTTCACAAATTCAGAGAAGTCTGTTAGAATTGAAAGACCTAAGTTAGAAGTCAGTTTTCTAGTCTTGTTATTTTACATATGAGGAAAACACAGTCTAGAGAGGGAAATGTATCTAAGACATCCCCATTAGATGGAAAACTGTGACCAGCACCCAGGACTTCCAACATCCAGTCTGGGAATGATTCCTCCTTTATATGGCCGTTTCCTATCTGAGAATTCTCATGACATTCTCATGACACTTCAGTGTAGCACTGTAGATTCCTCCCATGGAGCAAACTAAGGTGCTTTCCACCCACCCTATCCCCTATACAGCTACACACATAGATATTTACTACACACATACACATAGATCCATGTATCTTATTCTGAAAGCTGCCAGATGTCAATTTGAAATTTAATTTAATTGGTTCCTTGAGTTTTCGGTTCCCCATCATCCTGCTCCACCTTTCGCTTAGCGTGGCCATCCTGGAGTTCAAGATGTAGTTAAAAGGCAAGATGGTGTGATGGATAGACTGTAGGTTTTGGTGGCAGGCAGAATTGGTTTGAAAGCCTAATAGCTACATCATCGAAGTGAAATTATTTAAGTTTTCTGAGCCTTATATTTTTTTCACTCATAGGGCTGGATAATTGTAATTGTCTCACTTGATTCTTGCAACTATTAGGTGAGGGTATAATAATATTAGCCACCATTTTATTGGGCATGTACTATGTGCCAGACATTGCACAACATGCTTAAAGGACATTGCCCCATTTAATCCTTATGCCATAACCTGATGAGGTGGGTAATATTAACCCTACTTTAAAATGCTTAAGAGTTCCCAACTCTAATAGTAATAAGGACTATTATTCCCACAATCATTTATTTACACTTTTATTCATTCACTTATTATTATGAAGTGCCTATTCTGTTTCAGGCATTCTTCTGGGTACTAGGGATACAGAGAATAAAAAACTGACAAAGCTTCTTGCCCCCATGCAACTAACAATCTAGTGAGGAGAAATAAAAAATAAGCAGAATACAGTAAAATATATGTAGCTTATTAGATAAATGTTCAGGACAAAAATAAAATAGAGCAAGGGGATGGAGAAGAGCCAGGATATTGCTGTGTGTAGTGTAGGGAGGTCATGGATGTGACCATCGATTGAAAATATATTTTATCATTTCAGAAAAGACTTCCTGGTAGATTACATGAACTGTTAAGTTAATTTGCTTTTTGGGAAAATTTAGCACTTGGTATATCCTCTCATTCTTCCCTTTCCCCTTCCTCCTTCCCTTCCTCTCTTAATGCCTCACACATTTGTGATATTGGCTGTGTTAGTTGCTGAGAATGTAAAGAGGAATGTTTCTTTTATCTGCTTGTCTACCTACCGTTCTTCCTACTTAATCCCCTATTTGTTCCACAAAGGATTAAGACACATACAAACAAATAGGAATGGTCCAGCCTTCTAATTCCTCTGCTCGGGCTGTGCCCATCTGCTGGGGGTGATTTGGGATTTGGAAGCTGAACTGTCCTATTGGTACCCAAAGGTACCAGTAGGGGTCCAAACACAGTTCCCAAGTGCACTATAGGAAATCCGGATAGAGTTGGCCCTAAGGCACCTTACCCTGCACCCCAAGATGAACACTAAAAATCTGTTCAGCTCATTAAGGGGCCTCCCAGCAGGGTGGCTCCAGTCTGTGATCTTTGCAGAGCAAAGTGATGGGTGCCCTCATTACTGATGTAGTAGGCTCTTGACCCGTGAGCTGCAGCTGCACACAGACAGCTCTGCTGCCCAACACACTCTCATCCCAGTCCTCAGGTGGAGGAGGGATAGAGTTTACTGGGAAATGGCAAAAAAGGGGGGGAGGGGTAGAAATGGGAACATTTTCAAATTAATTTCAGAAATCCAGTCTTAGCTCTAAACGACAGCTGTGAGTTTAATCACTGAAACTCTCTTTCTATTCAAGAGCAGCATGTGTCTCCTGAGGAGGGGGAGCATTATCAAGCAGTTAAGTCGTTGGAAGCTGCTTAGGGGCTGGTAGGCAGTCTGCAGGGAAGGGGAGGATGGCTTCGCTTTTGGCAGTGACCTGGGTATAGTAGGTACTGCTTACCTGCTATCATCTCATGCTATCTCCAGCAGTCCCTGAGGATTGCTCTGCTCTGTCTATCACTGCGCGGGGTGGGAGGTAACATCTTGTACAACGGAAGCCAATGGGGCCAAGAAAACCCATGCCTCAGCATCGGGCTAAAAAAGTTAATGGATTTCTTGATTTTAAGGGTTGGGGATTCAGGAGGGAATTTTCCTTTCCATCTGTTACCACCACAGCAGTAACAGCAACTGCAACTACAACACACTCCACCAACTACAAGAGCTAATGCTTATGGAGCACTTCCTAACTCCCTAAACATTCACGTCTTCGTTCATTTATGATTTACTGAGCATCGACTATGTGCCATACATTGTGCTAAGCACTGGGAATAGAGCAGGAGCTAAGGCAGGTATCATCCTTCCCCTTAAGGAGCCAGCAGTTTAGTGGAAAAGACTAAATGGGCATCTGATGAACTCAAACCTGGTCCCCAAAGATGTCAGCTCACCCGTTCGAGGAATGAGTCTCAGCCTTGGTCCGTCACTTCCAGCCTAGGTGGGGGAATGTCAGCTGATATGAAAGCTTTACCCTCCCCTCCCATTTACCTCTCAGACCCCACCCTCAGGACAGTGGTATCTGTCCGTGGCTCCCATCTGTGTGTTGCTGCCCATCACTTCAGAGGAACCAGAAGCACCTGCCAGAGAGCTTTATGTCATCAGCCATGGGAACTTCTTCCATGCTGTTTGTTGCACTGGCCTATTTTAGGGAAAACTCTACGCATGAAGAGGGAAGCTGAAAAGACACAGGGCAAAAAGAAATATTCCCCACCCCATTCTTTTTCCCCACTATGATTTTCTTCTTCTTTGTCTTTTGTTTTATCTATTTTATGATTTTGCTTTTCATTTTAACACTGTGGTGAGGGGTGGGGGGGTGCTTTAAAACCAGAGCCACAAGCAAACAGGAATTAGATCAGGGAAATAAGAAGGCAGATGGAAGAATGATTTTTGAGTAAAGCCCAGGCCCAGTGGAATCTGCCTTGACCATGTGGTGCTCGTGTGGGCCCACAGAAAAAAACCCAGAACATTGCAGTAGCAAAGTGAAAGCTCTGTGGACTGTGAATGCAGATTAGAATTAAAAGATGTGCTTACCACACTGTCTCTGTCTCTGTCCCAGAGCCTGCCTGTGAACGCCAAGCCTCCACTCTCTTCCCCAGATCCTATTCTCCGTCATAAGTTCTCCATCACACATTCTCACCTCTTCCATTTGAGTCTGGATTAACACAGTAGATGCTGCTCTTTTTTGTCATTTTTCCTCTACCATGACCAAGAATAGTAGTTTAGGCAAATAAAGATACTTTCTTCCTACATATCAAGAAGTTCCAAGCGAGGCAGCCCAGAGCTGGTAACAGCCCAACAATGCCGCTATGGAATATAGTCCATATTTTGCTCCACCACACATAGCATGTTGGCTGCGATCCTCAGGTTTGTTACCTTATGGTTACAATATGGTTCCCACACATCCAGGCATCATAACCTCTTTACAGGCTGGAGGAAGAAGAAAGCACAAAGAACTTTGGTTGCCCTCCACAGAGCCTTGGGTACTCTTTCACAGACAACTCTTTATATCTTGTTTTATTTTTTGAGACGGAGTTTCATTGTTGATGCGGCTGGAGTAAAATGGCGCGATCTTGGCTCACTGAAACCTCCGCCTCCCGGGTTCAAGCGATTCTCCTGCTTCAGCCTCCTGAGTAGCTGGGATTACAGGTGCCTGCCACCATGCCTGGGTATTTTTGTATTTTTTAGTAGAGATGGGGTTTCGCTATGTTGGCCAGGCTGCTCTCGAACCCCTGACCTCAGGTGATCCAAAGTGTTGGGATTGCAGGTGTGAGCCACCACATCCAGCCATCTCCTTGTATCTTATGTTCCCATCCCAAAACCAATCACTGGAGGAAGGGATACAATTACCAGGCCTGGTGTGGACCAATCATGCTTCATCTTCTGATCTTCTGTGGGTGTGGTAGGGGCCTACTTTCTCTCAGAACAAGGGCTTTCTAACCCTACCTTAACAAACCAGGCTTCTGTGGTCAGAGCAGAAGGGGAAGCAATGTAGTTGATAAGCAATGAGCAATGGGTGCCACTTGCCTTTGAGGTCCTCCTTTTGCCTAGGTTGGGTGCCCTGGCATCTCTTAAGTTGGGGGTGGATGTGAGAGAGTTATCTCTTTATGCCAATATTAATAATTTTGATGTTCAAAAGAAGCCCACATGCAGTTTCTGACATTATGTTCCACTTTTAAACTCTCAGAGCCCTAGTCTCTGAATTAGAATTCTAGTTTTAGAAGTTTTTCTGGGCTTGCTTTTCTATTAGAAACCATTTGGTTTTGTGGCCTTGTTTGAAGGCACCATTGCTCACTGGTTAAACTGACTCCATTTGCCTGAATGATTATCGCCTGATGTCTTGAGGCTTACAGACCCAGAGAAACCTTTATTCTTTTCTCGTAACAGTTAATAATAAAGCACTTGTTCCCTTGTCTCCTTTTTTTTTTCTGCCACAGTATTTCTCAACCTACTATCTTTCCATCTTTTGTCAGCTAGTAGTAAAATTCTTCTAAAAGACACCCAAGTTCACCACTGTCCTCACTTTCAACATATAGTAGAGCACTTTAATTTGCAATTTTTTTCTTCTCTTTTCTTTTCTTTTTTTTTTTTTTACACATTAGCCATTAACCCTGCACCACTGCCCTCCACATCTTTGTCTTCTACATGAAACTTCTGTAAAAAATGTCTGTTAACACCTAGTGTTCTTCTCCTGGATAATGAGGACCAAAGAATAACCCAAGTTCTCTTTGCATGTTGGCTTGCAGGAAACTTAGAGTTGAAATACACAGCTCAATCTTATAAAATCTTATGCCCTAATTATCAGTGATAATTTTCTTCTCTGAGACAGTATCTTATATCTGAATTTATATTTTTTCTGGTTATGACTTTTTTTTCTTTTGGTTAGCTCTGATATTTTAATTTAATATGTTTTCAGTAAACATATAAAATCTTTTGTCAAATAAAACAATGTATTTAAAAGAAAATAGCTCTGTGCAGTGGGCTTTGCTGTTCTTATTTTACATGTTAGGATATTGGGGAAACTAAAAGTCAGAGGTGGCCAAGATGTTTTCCTATTAGGTACCTACTCTGGCTGATTGGCAAATTTCACCCTGGCATGTTAGGTAGAGAAACCTTGAGAATCTGCATCCCTCACTGGGATAGAGATGTAGTTATCAATTAGCAGTGACTGTTGTAGGTTTCATGGAAAGAGGAGAAGTGTGATATCTTTCAAGGACACAATTTTCCTCCAGAAAATCCAGGAATCCTCATTTTATATCCATGCTGAAGGCTCCTAGAGTAGCATTCCTCCTCTTCCCTCCCTCTCCCTCTTTTTTTGCTGTAACAACACGTGGGGAGATATGATGGAAGCGAAGAACGAAGTGGACTCTTCAGCTCAATGGAAAGGCATCAACACTTCATTTGATTTGGAAGCCAAAGAAGCAAACTATGAAAACCTCACCAGCATTGCAAGGGAGTGATAGAAATATATAACTCACAAATCATTATAGCTTCTCAACGTCTCAGTTTTTAAATTTTTACTGTGTATTTTTTTGTTTTGAATCACTTTATTGAGGTATGACTGGCATACAAAAAGCAGAACCTATTTAATGCATACAACTTGATGAGTTTGAGAAAAGTACGTACTCATGAAAAGCATATGTTCATGAAAGCATCACCACATATCTATCACGTCCCACCCTTTTATTTATTATTATTTTTGCAATAAGAACACTTAAGATATACTCTCTTAGCATATTTCTAAGTATACTGTACGGTATTGTTAACCAAAGGCCACTATCGTGTACAGTGGATCTCTAGGACTTATTCATCTTGTATAACCAAAACTTGGTACCCTTGGACTCAGCTTTTTTTCTGAATGATAGGTTAGATGCTAATTTGCCTGCGGTGCCTACAGAAGTTATCAGTGACATAGGGGAAGATAATCTTCCCCAGCCTTTCTCCCCTGTCTAGTGTTCAAATTGTAAAATTTTCTTGAACTGGACTAAATGCCTTAAAACCCTGGAATGTTGGTGTCTTTGAACCCTTACTTTGAGCTCTATGGAGACCTAGATTGTCCCTGGAGGTAGTGCAGCCTCATTTCAACAAATCAGGTTGTCAAAATGGCTAATTGTTTCCTCGCATTACTCTCCCTGAGAATTACCTTTCTTAGCTGGCTTCCCACGGAAACTAATGGTATTTGGCAACTGTCTACTTCCAAATCTTCCTCTAGAATATTGCAAGAATGTCTGAAAGCACAACATTTTTGGACAGGCCAAGATGCCATGGGAGAAAACACACACACAAGCCTACGTGCTTTCTCCAAAACTTGGCTCTGAAGACAGTCATATGGCAGTCACACCACAATCCAATGAATTGTTTTACCTCAGGTTTTGGAAGTTTCACTGCTCCCAATAGCTTGCATTAAGCCCTAAATAATAATAATGAGGAAATTCTATTAAGAACTATTTCAGAAGCTAGAGAATGTAATGATTATAAATAAGAAAGGGAATAAGCCATATCAATTGCTGCATGTATATTGTATAAATAGCTTGTTTTGCTTAAGCATTAGTTAAGCAACATTAAATTTAAAGAGTGTTTCTATTAGCCAAAGGTATGTAGTGTGTGATATAGAATGATTCTTGGAACTTTGACCAGATTTTCTGTCTGGGATGGGAGAAAATCTGGCCAGAGTGTGTCTTGTAGGTTGATCACAAATTCCTAATGTTCATCAAGAGTGGAATTTTGACGGTATAATGAAAGCCTATTTTAACTATGTAATACTATTCTTATTCCATTATGTAGGTAATGAAAGTTTGTATGTAAATAAAAGTTTAAGCTTCTCTTTATAATAATTTATCACAGGAACTGCCTGCAAATAGATTCTAACGATAAGAATGTTCTTCTTTTAGCTATAAATCCTTAGTTTTCTACTTCTTGCAAATAAACAGCTTAGTTAAATAAACTCAAGACACCATCATTAAACAATTCAATAATTAAGGTCTAATACTCCTTTTATTATTAATCATAATCACTTTTTTATTTGAATTGAGCTTTACTTAGTTTATTGCCTCTATTATTGTCTGAGAGGAGCACTCTTATATTGTCTGCTTTATGCAGGCAAGTGTGGTTTTAAGATGAGCTTGGGTCAAACATCAAAGCAAAAAAGATTTGACTATAAATCCTAGCTTCCTCATTAACCAGCTTGGTCACCTATCACAAATGATTATAGCCTCTCAAAGCCTCAGTTTTTATTTTTTTGAAAAATATGTAAGATACTACTTTATCTACTTTGTTCATAGTAGTTATTGCTGACATGGGACAAGATGATCTTTATGCTCTATTTGGTGTTTGAATTATAGAATGCTTCATGAATTGGATTAATTAATGTAAAGTTTTTGAATGTTGGTGTTTGTTTAATCAGTATTCTATAATACTGCCAATCTCTTACTCCTTGCTATCCACATATCTTCCTGGGTGATCTCTTTCGCTTGCACAGAGTCAACTTTTGTCTGCCTGGATAACTCCAAATTCTATTCCTTTTGTGCAGAATTTCCCATGAGCATTAGGCACACATAGCTCATTGCTTGCCTGACATTTCTAACTGGATATTTCATAATCAACTCTAAATCTACATGCCCAAAAGATAACTCTTATCACATATCAGGGTATCAAAACTAGATATCTGGGAGCCATCCTTAGCTGAACATAGTTTCTTAAGACCAAGGCACAAAATATTTGTGTAGAGGAGACATGGGGCAAAGGAGAGAAGAAAAGCAAGAACGAGGTTGTAAAGAACCTTGTATGCCGAGTAGGAAATGTTCATCTTTATTCCGAAGGCAATGGAGGGATCCTTCATTGAAAGCCTTCTGAGCAAGGGTGTAACATGGTCAGATTTAAGTCTTATTAAGATTGTTCTAGGATCATCTAGGGGATACAGTGAAGAGAACTTTACTGAATTCAGGCAAGGCAAAGAGAAAGCTATTGCAGTCAACCTAGCATTCAAAGAGAACACTCCATTGTGGACAATAAAATCCTGGTTGTTTAGGTCTAAACTTTGGCCTTGGAAGGGCTTTTTATATAATCTAGTAAATTTTCCTTTACCAACAAAGTAACAGATACTCCAGAAGTTTTTAAGCTTGCCCAAAGTGACTCAGCTGGCAGATGGCAAGTACCAGGCTGATATCCTGCAGGTTTTTTGTTTGTTTGTTTGAAATGGAGGAGTCTCACTCTGCCACCTAGGCTGGAGTGCAGTGACGCGATCTCAGTTCACTGCAGCCTCCGCCTCCCGGGTTCAAGGAATTCTCCTGCCTGTCTCCTGAGTAGCTGGGATTACAGCATACCTGGCTATTTTTTGTGTTTCTAGTAGAGGCGGGGTTTCGCCATGTTGGCCAGGCTGGTCTTGAATTCCTGACCTAAGGCGATCCACCCGCCTCGGCCTTCCAAAGTGCTGGGATTACAGGTGTGAGCCATGTCTCCCGGCCTGATATCCTGCAGTTTTGAGATACAGTTTTGTGTGTTTGCCTTGGAGAAAAAGAGAATTTCAGTTGCCCACGATTCATACATTTTTATGTGGCAGCTTCCTTGAAAGGGAACAAACGTTGAAGGGATTCATTTGGCAACATTATTCCCATTTTATAGATGTGGGTTTTTAGGCTTGAGGAGGTTGTGACTTTTCTAAAGTCATGTAATTAATTAGTGGCGAAGGTGTTATTTAATGACAGCATCTCTCAATATCCACTTCCACACCTTTTTTTAATGACGCTGCACTAAGGCAAGTGCCTCCTCTGGGATAGTTTCTGCTCTGTTCACTGCTATAACTGCACAGAGGCCTGCAGTTTGAATGAAGATACACACAGAGATAACTGAAGTTTCAACTAGGAAAGGGCAACTGGGGCATGTAGGGGCAAGTGTCAACTAGGAAAGGGCAACTGGGTCACCTTACCATGATGACTTCTTCATGGTTTCAGCCTGGACAGCAACCTTGCAGAGTCAGAATCCTGATCAGCAGTTTTGACCAGCACATCAAGAGTGGCTTTACCTCCCAGGCATTGATCCAGCATTAGTCAAGCTACAAGACACTGATGTAGAAAACCATAATGTCAGTTTACTAATGTAGAATAAGAAATAAAATCTCAGAAGACCTGAGCTCTCCTGTCAGCATGACTTGCACTTGTACTTTTCCTTTTTGTAGAGAAGCTAAATTATAATCAGAAAGTTGTTTTGGTGAGCTTGGAATCAGAAAATAGGAGTTTAAGTCATCTGTTCAACATGCAGCTTTCCTCAGCTGTGATAGCTTTTTCCTGCTGTCCAGTCTTCATGTGGAGCCTGGTCAATAGCACCAGAATTCTAAGTCTGCTGGCCAAGGTGCTGCCTCCTGCAGAGAGAGAAAGCCCATCAAAGTTGACTTCAGTGACTCCCCCTTCACTCACCCCTCATCTTCCACGGCCAACCAACTCCCTTTTTGATTGACACATCATTTCTTTACATACATTAATGCCTTCCATATTACCACAGAGAGTTTGTTAGACTGGAAATCATTTTATTTCTTTGATCTACTTCATCTTTCTCTGCATTGAGCCTTTGCGTACTAATTTATAGCTATTTTCTCACAGGATAGTCTATTTCCATTATATCTATATTTTCTAGTGGTCCTTTGCGTTTGCCTCTTTTCCAGACTGTATAGGGCATGGTGCCAGGCACAGTTTATTTGTTTTATTCTATATGCTGATAGTATCATCTTTTCCATCTTTAGATGTTTTATCTCATTCAGAGTGAGAGGGGCACTTGGTCAGTCCTTTTTGCATCTCAATAGTTGATCCTCTTTTGATTAAAAAATATTTAATTTCTAATAATGTGTGTTAGAGTGAAAATAACAGGAATTATTAGGCCCAGTCAAGACTAACAGTTCTTGACTCATAGTTCCAAATCACAGTTCCAAGATTTCCTTAACCTTTCTGATCCTCACTTCCCTCCCAAAAAAGTAAGAATGGCTATAATTACCTACCTCATGGAAATTATAAGGCTTCAGCAAGATTAAATGTACTCATTTATTTAACATGCATAGTAAGAACTATAAATGTTAATTTATTCTTACTTACATTAGGATACTGACTTATGAAACAGAGATTAAACACATTCTGCAAAAGGACTGGTATTGACAGGCTTTGATTCTAATAGCTCAAAAGATAGGCCATGGCTTGCTAGAGAAAATGAAAGGATACTCAAGGCTCATTAGATTAAAAGGCTGCTAATGTTCTCTAAGCTGTAAGTAGATTTTTGCCCACATTTATGAAGGTTGATTTCTAATCAGATTAGAAATGGCATAGGCTGGTGGCGTCATCTCAGAGCTGCCACAGCATTCTCAGGAGACTCAGCCATATCATGTTGGGTTGCTCTAAGAACACACAGAGACCTTTATGCTTTTTCACAAAAGCATACTCTTTCCCTGGAGTGTGTAACTCTATGTGTTGACCTTTAGTGGGATAAGTTCTTACAATGGAGCTATTCTGGGTACAAAACATCACTACTCTGTGAGATTTAGGAAGATAACACTGTTTGCTGATTTTACAAGCCCACTCGAGTGTCTTGATGTGTCAAAATGGGAGTCCCTGAACACGGAGGAAATTCACAACATCCTAAGCAATTGTAACAGATGACCTTATCTAATGAGAACTGGGGAAGTCCTCTCCTTTTAGGGAAAGTGAAAAATGTGAACTAAATAGGACTTTCTGTAGGAGAGATGCCTAACCACCCATGGGCATGCTCACTTCTACTTGTGCAGAGAGTTTGCACAACCCCATCTCATTTGGTCCTCACATCTTCTTTGTATTCATTCACTCAGCTAGGAAGGGGAATGGAAGAACACATTCTCCAAGAGTAGTGCCTTTGCAACATATTTTTCAAGTAAAGTGTTGACACAATTTTTGTTAAGACTATGATGAAAAGACAATTGAGAAAGAATTGTGAAAGCCAGATCTTGACATATGCATAAAAGTACATGGATGCCTGGCTCTGGGCTGATTAATGATCTGTGGTTGTTAAAATCTAGTTATGCCTCCACTTGGGAGGAGTAGGTAAGCTCCCAGGGCAGGTATGAACCTCACCATTTTAGAGAGGAAGAAATCTCAGTGTCAGGATGTTAAGTTAGTTGCCAAGACCTCAAAACTCATAAATAGCAGAGCCAGGACCAGGGTTGAAAGTCTGGTGTTTCACATTCTGCCACACCTCTCTGGCCAGTGTTGTTCGTGAACTTCGGGACTAAGACTCCAGCTCAAATCCTATGCGGATGTAGGTCAATTTCTTAACCTCTCTAAGCCTCAGTTTTCTCATCCTTGATGTGGGGATCATAAATTTACTTCTTACGAAGATGAAATGAAATAATATATGTAAGCAGTGTGTTCAATAATTGTTAGTTCCTTTGCCCTTCCTATTTTCTCACCAAGGAAATCAGGTGCAATAAGCTTTAGTGATCTGCTAAGGCTAGATAACTGGTAAATAGTGAAAGAAGAGTGAGGAGTCAACAGATGATTCTGCTTCTTATTTCACGTGCTTTAGTGGTATTTACAGAGCCCTGGTGCAAGAGTTTCTCTTTGTACTTAGAGAAGTTGATTTTCTTTTTCCTAATTTCTTCTTATTTGAACTAAGAACCCTCTACTTCTCTCCATCCCATCTGTATTTTTTCTGATGAGTTCTGTAGAATATGATATTGCATTCAAGCTTCATCATACTTTTGGTAGCGCCTTTGCTTGCTACATGATAACTGTCATTTTAGCTGCAATTTTTCAAAAATCTCCTAAAACACTCTTCTCACACAATCGGCCTCTCTTAACTAACTTGTAGACAATTTTGCCCTTCTGCTCAAGATCTTTTCTGCCTCCTTTAGATTTCCTCCCTATCCATTTCTGTCTCTTCTCCCTATGCCTTGATCTAAAGCTTTTGTGCATTATGGGACTTTCTCCGAATCCATTTTGTAGTCATTCACTCATGTAGGATAAATGCATTTTTTAAAGCACTTTCATTTTCATTTTACATGAAAGAGAACACTTGGGTACTGGTGAAATGCTTAGGTCAGCAATCCTTTTGGGAAGATACACATGAGGGGTATTATGTATCTCGTCTTTCCCTCTTTCAACATTTTCTAATTCAATTCTATATAATAAATATTTACTGAGTATCTACTCTCTGCTGGGTATTGTGCTAGGTTCAGGGGATATATAACTGAATCAGACAGAACCCCTTTCTTTACAGAGCATATATGATGATGTCATCTCAAGGGGAGCCCAGGATTTCAGGTCACCTATGTATAAAGTGAGAAATAAAGGCTGGCTAGGAGTCAGCCATGGGAAGGGGATAGAATAAGTTGAACATTCATGGTAAAGAGAATACTGTATTCAAGATCCTAAAGCATAATATGTTGGAAAACAGAAAATACAGTATGGCCAGAAGGCAGAACTCAAAGGAGAATGAGAGCCAGCGGATGCGGTAGGAAATGTGGGGAAGGGTAGATAAAGAAGTTAGGGGGTTTATTCTCAAGACAATGAGAAATTATTGAAAGAGCTAAATGAGGAATTGGTATAATATGAAATTTAAAAAAATTATCCTAATTGCAGTGGTCAGATGGGACAGGAGGCAGGCAGCAAGTGGAGAAACAGAAGACACACAGTAAAGGAGCCAACCTAGACTCAGTGGTAACAGAGATAGCGATAAGTGAACAGATGAGAAAGATCTGGGTTTAGAAATGGCAGGACATGCTGATGATTGAGCTATAGAGGAAGAGGAAAAGAGGGGAGTCAAATACCTGTCTATGCACTGTTCATAGGAGATTTAATCTAGTCAACTGTTTTGAGCTAAAATGTGAAAATACAAATGCCATGGCCAGAGCAACCATAACTATTAATTAGCAGCAACCCTTGGCACCTTCACCCAAAGCAATCACTATGCTGGGAATATCAGACTCTGCAGTAGAACCAAATCCAGGACATCCGTGTACAGCCTACTCACATCACAGCATCTAACTGTGTTCACATAAAAGGCAGTGTGAGGCATAACGACCCAACTCAGAAATGCCTTTTTTTTCTGGATGTTCTTTTCCTCACAAAACATCAAATAAGAGAGTCTGGCCACATTCTGATGATTTCTCTTAGAAACTTAGAGAAGGGGAGAACAATAATTTCCTAAGGAAGTGAACCAATTGAATTGTCAGATGGGCTGAGCAGTGACTTCTTCCTGGCTCTACTGTGGGCCTCCTGATGGATGGACATGGGCCCTGTGGTAAAGAGATGGTTCTAGAAATGCACAGAAACTATCGATTCCAAGTTGACAAATGAGAAACAAATCCAATCTCACCAGCCAATCGGGACTCATCATTTTGCCAAAACAATGCCCATAGATTGCCTACCACTATTATTAAGAAAAGCTTTTATGCTCATTTCACCTTCAGTGCCCTTGATCCAAGGTCTCAGATTTATCCTAGTTTCATTTTCAGTGAAGTATTGATTTGATAAAAGAAACGAGTCCTGCTGCTGATTGCTTAGACACTTGTTAGTTTCACCTGCATATGTAAGGTGGAGTTGGCTGTAGTTCAAGCAATAGAAAGAAGAGGTACTATTTTAACAACAGTTTTCAAATCTGAAGCTGATGTTCTGGAAAAATTAGAGCCATCGGTTTATTTTATTGTTTCATTTATAATCTCAGTGTGCATGTATCTTAATTCTTTGGGAATAGAGAAATGGCTTCAGAGAGGCTGGCTGAATGGGGAGGCAGAAACATCCAACTCTGTCCCTCTGGGCTTCTATCTCCCTGGGGTTCCTTTCACTTTTCCTCCAACTTTGTTTCTTTAGGCCCTGGAGCTAATGCAGGAATTGCCAAAAACATACCTATGTGGCACACAGGTCCTGCATGTTCTTGTTCTAGTAAGTGGTGTGAATGTGCTGTCTCTAGAATTATCTTGTCCTGTCTCATCAAGAAAATCCCCTGCAGATGTGAAACCCTCAAGCAATTTTCTCTATCTGAAGATCAGGCTGCATTATTTATTTATAGTTCCTTCAGCCTCCAAAAGCCCTGGCTGACCCTCAGTCTTTGAGAACAGCACCTCTGTAAACAGATGAAAGGGATTCCCTGTCTGGAATGTCATGGAAGGTTCCATGAATCTAGCTTCCGCTAATACCAACCATTCTAGAGGATAAAGCCCACCACTGCAAAAGTGTGATCCAGCCTCACACACTGCCTTGCAAATATTCTTCAGGCCAACTGATGGGTGAAGGCCAGGTTTGAGAACAGCACCTTTGTAGCCCATGAAGTTTCTTGACACATTTAGCCTCAAACACTTGCAGAGCAGATATAGTCGATATATCCTGGGTTCATGAATGACAAAACTTTTCTTCATGCTGAAAGGCCAATCATAGGAACCTCAAGTTTGGAGGAAGTCGCAAACGTAGGAGAGTAGGTGATCTTGTTATGCTTAATATCTAGTGTGATGCTGGAGGAAAGACAGCCAAATTGGAAAGTTGGGGTGAGATAGGATGTGTCTTTTCCATATGTTTAAAGGATAGTATGCTGACAAGATATTATTAAGGCTACAATAAGGCAATTGAGGAAGCTGTATGTCAATAAGGTCTTGAGATACTCAGAGAGATTAGACAAAGCAGAGTAATATTTTCACCTGCTTACCCTCCTCTTCCCCCAAACCATACCAATGAACAACATGGGCCCCAGCCCTAAATTCACAATCTCTGATGTAAGAGCCTGACTAAGCATACTGGCATTAAACATAAGGATGTTTGTGTAGGCAAAAACCCCCAAACAATTATTTTAGTTATCTCACCATGTTTTCATGTCTGTTTATGAAGACTCAGGCTTCCTAGGCTCTCTGAGGGCCAGAGGTCTCAGAGCTCAGGAGGTAACTAGCATTGGCCCTTCCTTTAGTTTCTCTTTGATAGCTTATTACTTAAGGACCCCAGGGGAACAGTTTCCCAGAATTCTACCATGACAATTTCACAATATTGAAAATATATTAAACTGACATTAACACTGACATGCATAATTCCTACCAAAGCGGGGAGGCCGTTTTGTCATGCGGCTTAGGTGGAGGAGAGATAGTAAGAGCTGTTAGGCTCTCTGAAGCCTCTTAGATAAAAGAAGTCCTTAGCTTTGACTATAATACCAGCTATGCTCAAGCCTTTTTCCCCCCACTATATTCTTTACAATTTCACAGTTAATCTCTGCATTATGGTTCTCTGTAGCCAGAAGACATTGCAGACAGGGAATTGAGAGGATGCTTGAGTTAATCTGCAGGGTCTAAGGTGGTAAAGGCAATTCAGCTACCCTCATAGCATCCCCGATGTTCCGAAGAAAGGAAGCAGAGCATATGTTTTACATGGGGATAAATTCTCTTTATAGCTAATTAATTACAAATTGCCCCCCAGTGTGGTGATGTGCACTTGGGGATAGATTAACTCAGGGGAGGAGTCCAGCTGCTAATTCTTTTTTTTCTCCCTCCCTGTCCCTCCTTGTGCTCCCCTCCTCCTTGCTCCCTATTTCTTGGAGGCTGTGTCTCCTATCGCTCTGTTTGTACAGCTAGCGCTAATCTAAAATCACAGTTATTAGATCACATTAAGCTCCTCAAAGTGGGTGAAGCATCTGTGAGTGTCTCATTAAGTCCTGGACACACATAGTCTTGCCACCCCTCTCTAATTAAGAGATTCCCACTCTTCCAGCACTGCTGACTGCTTCCTAAAGAAAGTGTGCCTGCCCTGGAGGGGACGGAAGGGGGAAGGAGTGAGGTAAAGTAAGGGTGAGTCTTCTCCATAGACCGTGACCTTGCCCAGCAGTGTGGCCTGCTGGAGGAGCAGCAGTAGCACCTGGGAGCTTGTTAGAAATGCAAAATCTGAGCCCCATCTCAGACCTATTCAATTGCATTTTGTAGTTTAATAAGACCTCCAGGTGATTCATGTACACGGCAAAGCATGAGAAGCACTGAACCAGGAAATGGATAGAGGAGTGGATCCCAGGATGCAAACTGGCAGAATCCCAGTTGTTAGGAGATCACGCCACAGGCAGAATTCATCTCAGCAGAAACCGAAGTCACCAATGGCAAGTGTTCGTGTATTTGTGACATTCCTTGGGAATTGTGTTTGTCCTTGCACTTGCGATTTTGCCTTTTAAAAGAGCATTTTGGGGCCAGGCGCGGTGGCTCATGCCTGTAATCCCAGCACTTTGGGAGGCCCCGAGGCAGGCAGATGGCTTGAGGCCAGGAGTTTGAAACCAGCCTGGGCAACAGGGTGAAACCCTGTTTGGTTTCATCTCTACTAAAAATACAAAGATTAGCTGGGTATGGTGGCACATGCCCATAGTCCAGCCACTCGGGAGGCTGAGGCACCAGAATCACTTGAACCCAGGAGGCGGAGGTTGCAGTGAGCTGAGATGGCACCACTGCCCACCAGCCTGAGCACAGAGTGAGATTCTGTCTTTTAAAAAAGTATTTTGAAAGAGTAAAAGGAGAATAATAATGTCATTGGACACATTTAGAACCTATGTATGCCAAGCATTGGGAGTAGAATGCAAGGCAAACATGGCTCTTAAGAAATTCACAGGGAAGGAAGATTCTGAAATAATCTCTCTGTTCAGGGCTCTATGGGGATTCTTAAATATTGGGCTTATATGTCTTGGAAGAAGAGACATTAAAGTGAGATTTTAAGTAAGAAAAAGTATAGGCGTGGGAAGGGTGTAGCAGGCAGAAGAAGCAGTGTGGATAGAGGCCCAGGGATAGGAAGAGCCTTGCCCTCAGGGCTAGTTCAGATTGGCTGCAATGTGGGGCCTGACCAGAGAGAGATGGTGCTTGGCTGCAAGGGTGGGCCAGGGTCATTTCACGCAGGGGGTTGTAAGCCTGGTCATTAGGAGCTTTATTCTAAGGACATCAGGAAGCTGATGAATTTTTAACAGAGAATTCTGAGCAGGAGATGTCAATGAATGTCCTGATTGTCATCCAGGTGCCAGCTGCATTGACTCAGCATTGGCCCACGCACACTGCAGGCTGAGGGTGTGGTGTACACACTCTGCTGCTTCCCTGGTGACAGCATTCCACCGACTCTGCCCTTAGATACAGTGACCCCAGATGTCAATTCAGAAACCACACACCCACGTTACACAGTCTGTAAGTGACCAGCCACTCAGGTGAAACAGGAGACTTGAGTGATGGCAGCAAAATGAATTGCCTCCAAATTCAACTGAATATGAAAACATGGATGGGTTCTCATTTCCCTTCAACAAGGAAGTTCCATGTCTCAAGCACTCTTTTAGTTACTAGGGATAGATACAACAGTGAGCAAAACAGAAAAAAAAAATTCTGTATTTCTGGAGCTTACATTTGGGGTTAGCGGCTGGGTGACTTGTATCGATTTCCATCATTATGTCCTTAATTTCACAGACGCTGAAACTGCTCTGGTTTTTGGCTATTTAGAGATTGCACTCTCTTCCTTTGTGGCTTAAGCTGGTGTCACCTTTACAGTAAGATATGTTACCTGAAAGAGCTTTTAAGAAAATTAAATCTATTTTCTCCTGCCCCTGTGGATTAGAGGAAAACTTCCTATTGCCCAGTAGCATTTTTTTTATGCTCTCAGTGAATAATGATGATAATGGCAGCTGAGATTTGAATGGTAACTTGGGTCTAAGTACTGCATGTGATACATTTAGTCAGTCCCCACAAACCTGATTAGAAAGGAATTACCTCCAGCATTTTACAGAAGAGGAAATGGAAGCTTAGAGCAGTGGGTAACTTACCCAGGTTGAAATTGGCAGAGCTGAGGTCCAAATCAGAGAAATTCAGCATCGATGGTGCAATAGACTCTAGGAAGTGGCCTCATATATGGTCTAGTCAATAGAAGAAGCCAGAAAACGCTTTTCAGAGAATGAGATCTAGTCTTGTCACCTTCTTCACTTACCACCTTTTCTTGGCTTCCCAAGGCTCAAAGAATAATATGTAGGAACTGCTAAAAGATAAACTGGGGCACATTCAAATTTTAAGGAGTTTATTTGAGCATTCAGCAATTCATGAATCAGGCAACATGAGACTTGGGCTGTTCAGAGCTCCATGACAAGGGTGTGAGGGGAAACCTTATAAGGTGTTTACAGAAGCACAGGAAAGAAAATGTTTGATTGGTTAAAATGGAAGTTTGTAGTTCGAGGTTAGGCGTTAGTTTCGGATTGTTAAGCTCGAGTTTTGCTTTTCTAGGCTATGACTCTACTCTGAGTTGGGTTTTGGTTTGCTTAGGTAGGAACCCACCACACTGGAGCTGACTCAGCCTAATGGTCTCCCAGTTAATTATTTTAACACTATGGTGGGGTTACAAGGCTCTGTACCAGTTGGCCTCCGTTTCTTTGTTCAGCCCCAGTCCTGGGTACTCCCCACCCCACACCGTTCTCCTCACTCCCAGCCACACAGGCCTTCTTTCAGTCCTTAATATTTCCCCTGTTTCTTTCTACCACACAGGCTTTGCACATTCTCTTCTCAATGCCTAGGATATGTCTTCTTCACATATTTTCTCAAACACAAATGCAGATCTCAGTTTCAAGGTAATTTGCTCTTGGAAGCAGTCCCTAACTTCTCTAACTACATCAAATCCCACTCTTCAGTTAGTTCCACCTTTCAATTGCAATTAACAAAATTGTAATTTTATATTTAGTAGTGCAGTGGTTTTCAAAGTGCGACTGCCACACCAGTGGCATCAGTATCACCTGGCAACCTGTTAGAAGTAGAAATTTTCCCACTCCACTCTAGACCTACTGAACCAGAAACTCTGGAGGTGGGTGGGGCCCAGCAATCTGAGTTTTACCAAGTTGTCCTACTGATTTTAATGCACTGTGAACTCGATAACCACCATTTCAGTATACACTTTTTTTTTTTTTTTGAGACAGAGTCTCACTGTGTTGCCCTGTATCCACACCTTTTTATAATATGCTTTTGGAGGTTTTCCCATCAAGAGGTGGAATATATTTCTCTACTTATTTAAAATACCTGACTTTGGACTTATGTTGTCTAGTAAAAGGCAGCAAAGTTACATTGTGCCAGTTCCAAGCCTAGATGTCAAGAGGCTCTATGCTCTTCCATTTACTCTCATGGAATGCCCAGGCTAAAGTGAAGTGGCACGATCATAGCTCACTGTCACCCCCGGGCTAAATTCTCCCACCTCAGACTTCCAAGTAGCTGGGACTATGGGTGTGCACCACCATGCCTGGCTAGTTTTTGTATTTTTTTTTTTTTTTTTTTAGAAATGGGGTCTTGCTATGTCGCCCAGACTGTTTTCAAACTCCTAGCCTCAAGCAATTCTCCCACCTTGGCCTCCCAAAGTGGTGGGATTACAGGTGTGAGCCACTGAGCCCAGTCTAGCGCATGCCTTTAATGGATGCCATTCTTCCCTCATAGGCTGTTGGTTCTATCAGGACAGAGACTGAGTTGTTGTTGATTCTCTCTTGATACCCTTACTTGCTATTCAGTACATGTTAGGTATCCAATTAATAGTTGTTTAGTCAATAAATGAGTGAGCACACTTGACTTTTGTAATGTCTTTTTAAAGAGGTATTATTTTACAGATAAAAAACACCTGAGGCTTTGGGAGTTCTATTGACTGCTAGGTGTGAGTTATGTTGGGTCTTGTGAATTTACAAGTTTCTTCTTTGGAGAAAATAGCAACCGTAGCAGCTCTAGGTGCAAAACATCTTTGATGAAGAGATTCCATTGGTATTTCATGGATAGGCTGAGGAAAGGTACTTAGTAGCAGTCCCCTACCAACCTGAAATAAACCTGTTTTGCTTCCTTCCTTACTCAAGCATTTCTCAAGTATACTATAGCTGATCTTGGCATTACCAAAATGAATACTATCCTCAGAAAGCTTAAATTATCTGTATGTTTACCTATCTGCTGTGTGTATGTAGATTTCCTATAGATACACATTTTTCTAAAAAATGCTAGGCAGGCAGTGACATATGCAAGAGAATAATAATCAAATTAGTACCAAATACTTCCAGTTGAAAAACATAGATTATGTATTTACATGATGGTTTTGGACATGGAAAGTATGAGAGATATTTCTCACAAGGCTGCTTATAGCAAGTAAAATACCATTAGGGTAGTCTCTTTTTCATTGAATTATTCATCCAGAGTCATTGAGGGCTTCCCTAGACAATGTTTATGTATTTTGTGTGGAAAGTATAATATCCAAGAAAAACCATTTTCATATTTTTTAACACTTTTAAATGGTTCACTAGCCGGGTGCGGTGGCTCATGTCTGTAATCCTAGCACTTTAGGAGGCTGAGGTGGGCAGATCACCTGAGGTCAAGAGTTTGAGACTAGCCTGGTAAACGTGGCAAAACCCTATCTCTACTAAAGATACAAAAATTAGTCGGGCATGGTGGCATGCACCTGTAATCCCAACTACTCAGGAGGCTGAGGCAGGAGAATCACTTAAACCAGGGAGGTGGAGGCTGCAGTGAGCCAAGATCGTGCCACTGTACTTGGCTCTGTACAAGATCAGCCTGGGTGACAGAGCCTGGGTGGCTCTGATCGCCCAAGCTCAGCCTGGGTGACAGACTGGGATTCTGTCTCAAAAAAAAAAAAAAAAAAAAGGTTCACTGTAAAATGAAAGTTTTGTTGTACTTGCTTTTTAAAATCACATATTCCATTCTCCCTCACCCTTGCTCCAACTTTTAAAAATTGACTTTGTTTAAAAAACAAAAAACAGCTGTACTTGGCAGCTGGTTTGGAAACAGCATTGAAGAACTGAGGAATTTGCACAATTAACAGCTATACATAGATACTGGTTCTAGGATGAAAATGTTTAACGGTGTGCCACCAACTCTGTTCCGTGTAATAGACTGATTAAAATCTTATTTACATTTCTTCCAAGTTCTTACAAATCCTATATTTCTCCTTAATTTTCATTTGGTGGGTTATTAGATTTGGTTGAAGGGAAAGCGAATGCTGTTTAAGTGTTTAACAGGCTGTTTTCTCTACTCAGCTGATGACTGTTATATTTCACATTTACTCTGAATTTGAAAACTAGCTTTGCAATCTCAGCAGAACTTGTTACTCTCATCTGAATGTGCCTTGCCTCCACCTTAAAACAAACCTGAATCTTAAGACTGATGGTTCAGATTTTCATAACAATGATTAAAATAGGATTCTGGGTGGAGCACAGTGCCTCACGCCTTTAATCCTGGCACTTTGGGAGGCCGAGGGGGGCAGACTGCCTGAGCTCAGGAACTAGAGACCAGCCTAGGTAACATGGTTAAACCCCATCTCTACTAAAATACAAAAGAAATTAGCCGAATGTGGCAATGTGCACCTGTAGTCCCAGCTACTCAGGAGGCTGAGGCAGGAGAATTGCTTGAACTTGGGAGGCAGAGGTTGCAGTGAGTTGAGATCGCCACTGCACTCCAGCCTGGGCGACAGAGAGAGATTCCATCTCTTAAAAAAAAAAAAAGGATTCTGCATGACAAATTAATTAGCAATCATGTACCTCCCATGTGCTAGGCAGAGCCCAGTGTTAGGAAAGGCTAGGCCTCAGGAAAGGCATAGTGTCTGTCTTCAAGGTATGGAGTCTGTCTATGCTAGTCCTCAGGAAAGGCATGGTGTATCTGTCTTCAAAACACTGAAACTCTGCATTTCCCAAAGGAGGATGGCTAAAGGATGAGATTCACATAATGACATTGTGAATGCAGTGTGGTATCCTGGGTCGGCTCCTGAAACAGAAACAAGACATGAGTGGAAAAACTGTGAATAAAAAATGTGAATAAATTCTGGGGTTTGGTTAATGGTAATATGCCATTGTTAATTTCTTAGTTTTGACAAATGTACCATTGTTGTGTAAGAGGTTAATATTTGGCAAAATTGGGTGAAGGGCATATGGGAGCTTACATTAGATTCATAACTTTTAGATTTGTAACTTTTCTATAAACCTAAACTTCCAAAATAAAATGTTTATTTTTAAATAAAAGCACTAGGATTCTAGTAAAGACTTACTGGAAAGCTCCTGGGTTATTTATGGGAAATAATTATTTTCAGGAAAGCACCCCATTCTTGCCCTCCCTCCCTGCAGCCTTAGAGGATGTGTGAAGAATTAACTGGTCACTGGGAGAATGAAGTTATCTTTTGTGGATAAGGGCTGTGCAAAATGAACATAGCCTTGTGAAGTGGGAATTAGGGCCACATCTGGAGAATTGGTACCTGCTCACCACTTTATAATTGTGTGGCTTCGGGTCAGTTAATGTATCTGAGCCTCAGGTTTTTTAATCTGTACAATGAACGTATTGTTTTGCTTATGCAGACAATGGGACTACTCTAATAGCGAATTTAAAATAATGTTGTAAAAGTGCTGTAATCACTGTGCTCTAAAAATGTAAGAAAGGTACTTAAACCTTCCAGCCATGGCCAACATGACTAATGACAGCTGAGTGGTACTTCTAGGTACTTCCCAGACTTGAGCCTTCAACAACCTGAACTCCATTGCTTTATTGAAGATGGAGAGACAAAGCTTTCCTATGAAAAAAATGGCCAAATGTGTGTTTTATCCTCCTCTGGTGGATAGTCCAAGCATTGCAGCCTCTTATTGGACTTGAGCATTATCTGCAAGAGCAGTTCCAGACAGCTCTTATGTATTGCAGTCGCTCTGCTCCCTGCATTCCACCTTCAGGGCAGCTCCATCCGTTTTTCTTTCTTATGGTGCCTCAAATGGCCTTACAACAACAGCGTACTATTAAATGTATCATTTTTTGAGAATGCGCTAATGCTTTTCCCCTTATACCTCTAGGGTTTACTTTGTCATTCTGTCCTTTTATGGTTTATTTCAACATACTTAGCATAAAGCCTAGAGTGGTGGGATGCAATATCTTACCTTAGCTGAATTGTGGCCTGGATCATCAGTGTCCTTCGCAAAGAAGTATAGCTGTAGATTCTCCCTGGAGGAAAAACCCATTTAATATTTAGTTTCATCTCCTTTCATTTTGTTCTTGGTGTACCAGAAAAGCAGCAATGCTGGCTCAGGAAAGAGGGACTTTTCAGCAATTCATTTACCTCCCTAGTTTTGACCTTCCTCAGCTGGATGTAGGAAAAAAAGATGTTCTCATCCTGACTTCACCCACACCACAAATGTACATTTAGTACCTCATCCTCCGGACCAGATGTTAGGCACTTTAGGTTCAAAGGGTTGCTGCCCACAAGAGTTACTAACTGGGAAGACTGAGGCAATGCATTAAAAAAGCTCACACTCTGCCTCATGTAATCAATGCCATCTGGTGGTATTTCCGCTTGTTGGTAATAGGTAGTGATAACAACAAGAATGATAACAACGACAAACATTAAGTCAGCTCTGTGAACCAGCCTCTAACCAGGTGCATTATATACGATATCTCTTTTGATATGTCCAACAATACTAGAAGGTAATACTCTTTAAGATATTTTTGCAAATGAGGACACTGGGGCTTGATGAAGTTAAATAACTTACCCAGATATAACCATTGTAAGCAGAGGAGTAAATATTTTGATTACATAAATATATCGCTGAGTTCTGTCATTCAGTCTTTTCTCATGACTTTTCCTCATTTGTGTCACACATCACTCATCAGTCTTGGCATATCATTTTTCCTCTGGAGATTCTGAAATTGGCCTCGCATTGCTTCTTAGCCCTGACTCTAAGCAGCCATGATTTCTTGATTAGGGTTGGCATAGAAGATAAATCCTATTTTCCATTCAGCGAATAAATGTTTGTTGAAAGAAAAAAGGCAAAAAATTCCTGGCTGAGGTGTTTAAGGAAAAGCTTAACAGAAGGAGTAGAAATTTGTCTCAGCCTTGGAAGAAAGGTGTAGGGCCTGGTAAGCAAAGTTTATTATGATAGTAGCTTGATTATTGAGTGCTTACTTTCTGTCAGCTTTTGACTATAGCCACTGTCAATCCATTTAAAGCCACAGCATTTCTAGATGATATGTCCTATTAGTATGCCCACTTTACAGAAGAGAAACAGAAGCACAGAGAGTTAAGTAGCTTGTGCAAAATCACATAGTCTGTTCAAGGCAAAGCCAGGACCCAGAGCCTGCAGTCTTTTTTTTTTTTTTTTTTTTTTTTGAGACGGAGTTTCGCTCTTGTTGCCCTGGCTGGAGTGCAACGGAACAATCTTGGCTCACTGCAACAACCTCTTTCTCCCAGGTTCTAGTGATTCTTCTGCCTCAGCCTCCTGAGTAGCTGGGACTAGGCGCCCACCACCACACCTGGCTAATTTTGTATTTTTAGTAGAGATGGGGTTTCTCCATGTTAGTCAGGCTGGTTTTGAACTCCCGACCTCAGGTGATCCGCCCGCCTCGGCCTCCCAAAGTGCTGGGATTACAGGTGTAAGCCACTGCGCCCCACCTGAGCCTGTAGTCTTAATACACCATACTATTTTAAGAGAGCAGAGATGTCTGTTTACTGATGTATTCTAAGGGTCTGGAACATAGTAGGTGCTTTATATATAGCGAATGAATAAAAATACCCTCTTTCTTTGGTAAAATAAAAGAGGAAAGGCATTCTAGATGGGGAAAATAGCAAAAGCAATGATGAAGAGATACCAATGATTTGTTAGTGATAAATGGATTTTTATACAGCAAGAATTGAACATACATTTGGCAAGGCGGATTGGAGCCAGCCTAAAGAGTTTAGACTTTTTGTTTAGCTCTCATTATCAGAAATCGTCACTTCCTACCTGTCCAGGTTTGCATAAACCATGGATGCTCTGTTTTATGGTCCCATATAATGAAGATTATGTGTAATTACTTCATAGTGGATTGCACTCTAGCAAAATTAACTGTCCATATTTCTTCTCATGAGCCCTTTGCGTTAATAAATGATGCATTTGAGGAGGCAAAAATGGTTGGGATTTTCTGTGGGGGAATTCCTCATGAGGAGATAGGAGGAATCATGGAAAATACCTGGTTCTAACAAGATCTTGATTATTGACATCTGTTTCTTTGGCTTTTCAAGGTAGTAATTACCAAACAGAGTAGTATAGATCACCGTAATGACATATTTGGAATTTTCTGAGCAACTCATGTTTCATGTAAATTGAGGTATTTCGATGTGTTTCATCATATTAGCACCATAGAATGCCATATCTAGAACTGGGGAAAGGAAATTATTCATAAAAAACAATCTTCATGGAGAATTCAGCTAGAGAAAAAGACGGAAATGAATCAAAATTCCCCGCAATCGCTCTTTTCCACCCACCATTCACAATATGTGTTTCTTCTTGAGACCTCAATATCCTGAAAGAAAATCCTCTGTCTCAGAAAGTGGAATTAATCCAGGTAATATTTTGACTGGATTTTGACTGGTAATATCAGCTGTTGCTGATAAAGTCAAGATTAATGATTCCTTGGCTACCAGTGGGCTGAGAGTGTGAAAGTCAAAACCTGTTAGAAACCAGGGGAATTGCCCATGAAATAAGATGGCTTTGTGAATGCGTAGGTGACTCTGATTTCCAGAGGGGATTTTGCAGTAAATCAATCCTTCTAAGATATTTAGCTTGTTTAACTCAATGACATTTTCATTCATAATGCTTTTATTTCTCATCTCAAGCAGGAGAGACAGTATCAGTTCTGCACAAAACTGAGCTTGAACTTTTACTTGATTGTATTTTCCCATCTATAAACTCTTATCAGGGTGCTAAAACTGGGAATAAAACCTAGCAGTTTGAAAAAATATAATCATTTTATTAATGAAAGAGTCTGTGGCTTGTGGTAGAGTACACATTGGGGCCTCATTTGAAGAATTAACAAGGATTAAGGAAGAGCTGCTTTTCATGAGTGCTTCTCTCAGGAATATCTGTACGTAAACATATTAGAAATGAGTGCTGGTGAGCACTTTTTGGACAGCATTTGATGTAAGCCCTGGGAGAAAGATGAAAAATAACAACCTGATGGTATTTAGAGTTTATTCATACATTTTTGTGTATATTGTCTCATTGTAATTCTCATAATAGTTTGTATCAAGCAGGGTGTTATTATCATCATTTTACAGATAGGGAAATTGAGGCTCAGATGGATTCATTTACTCACCTTGGGTCCTGCAGAGGAAAAGTGAAAGCAAGTGTTTAAACGTTGACACTCAGATCTCTTACTCCAAAGACCATTCTCTTTATTATTAAACTATTGATTAGCAGTGATTCACAAAGGTCTGTTTTGTCTCCTACAAATGTGTCATTGTGTATGCATGACTGAACCTGTCTTCTTAGGAAATCACGATGTATCGGTGGTTCCTGATTTCTTTTTTAGCACATAACATACCTTTCTGACCCTGCCACCTAATGCAAAGTGTACTACTATTCACTCATTCTGTTCTTGCATTTTGTAGATTCCAAAAGCATTCATTTTCACACCTACTATGGGAGACGGAGTTAGGTAAGGGAACGGACGAGCGTAGACTTGAATAGCAGCTCTTTTTCTTACCAGCGGGGACTTTGCCTCTCAGAAAGCTACGCAATCTCTTTGAGTCTCAGTTTCCTCACTCATAATATGAAACTGAGAGTAGTACTGACTGTATATTTTTGTAAGAATAATGTCTGTCATCCCCTAGCCCATTGGAGGTGTCAACACATGGGGGTGAGTTAAAAAGAGAAGGGTAAGACAGTCTCCATCATGAATACATACTTAGTCCAAAGGGCGGGGGAAGAAGCAAAAGTATTGCAATCAGTGCTGTTTCCTCAGTTGAATAATTAATGTAATAATACTGTTTACCCAAAAAGGATAAAATGGGATAATGCATGGAGAACACTTAGAATCATGCCTGGCACATAGTAAGTGCTCAATAATTTTTAGCTCTAATCATAGTAATTAGTAAGTGCTCCATCAGAGGCTTGCACTGGTACTATGGTTGCTCTGAGGCAAAAGCTTCAATCATTGGGCTAAGTCAGAGAAGGCATCACAAAAACAGTGCCATTTGAATTTAGTCTTGAGGCATGTGGAGGAGCCTTCCATGCTGTCCAGAGTTCTTCACCCTGATGGCTGATTTCATAAATAAGCTTAAGTGCAATGTGTAGGAAAATTGGAGTGAAAGTTGGCAATGGCGGGAGTGCTGGTATGTGTTGGAGTAAGGGTGGCAGGGACTACAATGTCACTGCCAACAAATGGCAAATTTTATGGAAATTAAAATATCCTGCAAAGTGCGGATTCAAGGCAATGCTGTCCCCTTTGCTACAGGTCCACTGCATTAATCACATCCTTTATTACAAGTGTCAACACATGATTGGGAGCAAAATTCTTTGAGGCTTAACTGTAAAGGAAGAAAGGGATAATGGCACAAATGCTGACCTCCATTCAAATCTTGCCTTACCACTAACTAGCTGCGTGATCTTGGAGTAATTGCATTGCCTTTCTGAGGTTTCATTCCCCAGATCTTCAAAGGAAGTGACAATTATATACCTTGAAATGTTGTTGTAAGCATTTGAGATAATAGGCATACAGTGTGTGGTGTTTTGGTAGATTCTCAGAAAAATAAAAATACTATATATAATTATAAATATGATTCTAATTTATTTTATAAATTATAATATATTTACAATTATAGCTAAATACCAAGCACTGTGTTAAGAGCTTTATAGGAACTATCTCCTGTAATGATGACATGATTAATAATGACACATGATGGTGATATGATTGACAGAAAGATATCAGCAGGCCCAGATGGAGGATATAGAGTTCTTTTAATGACAAGGATGCAGAAACATACGGAGATTGTATAGTACCTAGTTTTAAAGCAGCATGCACCTAGAGAGAGGTGCAGCTTTCTGGGTCTCCCAGTGTTTCCCTGGGACACACAGCTGGGGATAATACCACCTACCTGGAGTAAGGATTCTATTGGGTGCAAGAAGCTCCCTTTGCTGTCACAAGGGTGATTTAATCCCTTGGCATTTCTTCCTTCACATCTGACTGTTCTGGGAATCTGTTGCAACTTAGAGTTGCAAGGAATGAATGCGAAGACACCCTAGGACATTTCTGATAGTTGACTGTGACACTAGGTGATGAGCATGTCAGTTCCTCAGGATCATTCCTTGGGAGAACTGGCTTTAGGTCTGTCTAATGTTCCCCACTACAGAGCACTCAGTAACTTACCCAAGATCACACAGCCAGTACATGGAAACATTAGGATCTAAACATGATCTAAGTGTTCCTAATGACCATGCCATATCCAGTTAAGAATTGAATTGTGCATACAATTTACAAACTAGTTAAGAGTAGAGGGAGGAAAGCCAAACATCAACTTCCAAAGCAACAGAAGTTAGATATTCTATAATAAAGTTATCGGTTGCATGTTGCCGGCAGAAGTAATGACCAAAGGAGTTAGAGAAGACAGATGACCAAGGGCTGGAATAGCTGTTGAGGAGGAAGTACATTCCTGGCATGCAAATGATTCATTGCAGGAGGGCTTACCACATCTGATATACCACGAGGCTTCCTTGCTTTCCAGCTGAAATACAACCACAACTTCACCCTCACTTTCCTTTCCCGTTAAGCTGCCCACCTATCACACTCCAAAACAACATGTGGGAAACATACCTTAAACAGCTTTTAAACTTTTCTTAATTCTCCCCCCACCACCTCTTCTGGCTCCATAGAGAATAACAATTGCTAAGCTTAAAACATGTTACAAAAATGTTAAGAATTCTTTTCTCACGTTGCCAAAGTGACTACTGGCTTAGAAGAAAGTTGGAAATAAGTGGTGAAAAGCAGCTTAGCAGAGGGGAAATGCGTGGTCATTTCCTGAATGTAAAAAACACCTAGGGTTGGGATAATGTGAAAAAGAGACAGTGATTAGATCAGGCTTCCAAGAGTTTTCGAGAGGAGTGCACCATTAGACCTTGCTCAGCGAGCCACCGTCCAAGGCTCCCTGATCAGTCTATTTGGCTAAGAGACAAATGTGCCAACCTCCCCAGCCTCACTCAAGGACTGAGGAATCAATATCTGGGGGCATACTTGCAAACAATTCATAAATCTTATGTAAAGGGATTTAGACAAGATTTGCTTTGCTAGTGAAGGGAGTGGGTAGAAGAATTATTTAACCTGCAGCTGGGCAGGTTAACTAGAGAGAGGAAGCTAAATGTATGCTATGGTCACCTCTGTAGAGGAAGAGAGCACAGAAAATTTTACCTTTTCCTGGATTACCTTCCCTTCTTGTTTGCCTGGTGTCCTTTTTTTGTTTTGTTTGTTTGAAATGGAGTTTCACTCTTGTTGCCCAGGCTGGAGTGCAATGGCGCAATCTTGGCTCACTGCAACCTCCACCTCCTGGGTTCAAGAAATTCTCCTGTGTCAGCCTCCTGAGTAGCTAGGATTATAGGTATGCACCACTACACCCGGCTAATGTTCTATTTTTAGTAGACATGGGGTTTCTCCATGTTGGTCAGGCTGGTCTCGAACTCTTGAGCTCAGGTGATCCGCCTGCCTCGGCCTCCCAAAGTGCTGGGATTACAGGCATGAGCCACCGAGCCCAGCTGCCTGGTGTACTTTTAATTATTCTTGAAGATCCAAATAATTGCTTCTCTTGGAAGCTACCTTTCACAGGCAGACTTCATAGCTTCCATATTTGTTCTTGAATGAACTCCATAGGTTACAAGGATTTCCTCACAAGTCTGTTTCTCCTGCTAGAGTCACTGAGATTGTGATACTAAACAGTGACTTACTCATCTTTGTATTGCTACTCTCTAGTAGAGTGAGTTTACTGGTTAAAGCATTTTCATTAAATGTTTGTTAAGTGAATAAATGTTGATATATATATATATACACACACACACACATACATATATACATATATATCTTTATATATTCTCACCTTCCCCCATCCATTATTTCTTTGGCTAAGGCCACCTGGATTTTCTCTGTTTTCATCTCCATATCTATAGACTGCATAGACCTCTCACACAAATTTGCATTGCTAGTTGAGGTGTTCTTTGAGCTTCTCAGTGGTTATGACAAAAAGGACTTTAGCAGTTTGTGACTGTGCCCTGGAATCCTTCAGCAGACTGAAATACCTTCAGCTGAAGGAGATGGTGTTTATGCAGAAGCCCAGCACCTAGCCCATCAAGCAGTCTGAGGTTTCAGTTGGTGCCAGAGATAACTCCAGTGAGAGAACTCGGTCTAGGTTTTTAGAAGTTCTTCCCCAGCTAAAGATGACATCTTAATATATAAAGGTTTAATAATCATGGATGGTCCTTTGTAGACATCTATTGCTGTGGAAACTCTAGTTCTCTTTACCTTGAGTAGCTTCTTAAAAAGAAAAATAAAGAGAAGAACTAGCAGTGGGAAGGGAGAAGGGGTATCAGGTTGTATAAGCAAAGTGATTTCTCTGGCTTATGCTTCTATAAATTTGTTTATAACCACAAACCTCTGGTAACAGGGCATTTGCAGAAGGAAAATATTTATAGAAGTCTACCTTGCCAATTACATTGCAAAAAATAAATTGCCTTTAGAGTCCTTAAAAAAATTCAAATATGTTTTCCCTCTCCACTGCCACCCCCACATCAATAATTTGCAGCTCGAGGTCTATGTCTAAAGGATAAGAGTTTCCACAAGTTGATTGTGGATATCTGAAATCAAATTTAATTACATGTGATGGATCAACTTCTTGAACTCCCATATTTCTTTCATTGTCTTCTTCGGATTCCATGCCTCACCTTTGTGGAAACTGAACTATAGAGAAATGATAACATGACTCAGAGCCAGCCCTGCAATCAAGGGGGAGTCATCTAACCCAAATTGGTGAGTTCAGGTCAGCAGCATATAGTGTCTTGGAAAGAGCATGGGCTTTGCGGTCAGATAGACCTCCTTGAATTTGAAACCCAGACTGTTATTAATTATATTGGGCAGAATTCTTAAACTCTCACTCTCCTCATCTTTTAAAATGAGGTTTGAAATTCATCATGGAGCTAGCATGATGATTTACTAGGGAACATTTCTCTGGGTATCAAGGTCCTCAACACTCAGATTGCACTTGCTCTCCAACAGAATTTCCCAGTAATTCCCTATGCTAGTTTTCTTTTGCTGCATAACAAATTACTAGGGACTTAGCTGCTTAAAACAACACACATTGATTACCTCACCATTTCTGTAGGTCCTAGGTCCAGGCATGAATTAGTTGGGTTCTTTGCTTTAAAACTGCACAAAGATGCAATCAAGCACAGGGTTGTGATCTCATCTGAGGCTTGGGATCTTGTTCCAAGCTCACACGGTTAGCAGGATTTAATTCCCTGAAGTTGTAAGACTGAGGCCCTCAGCTTGTAGAAGCTGCTCAGTTCCCTGACATGTGGCCTTTCCATAGGTGTTTCATAATATAGCAGCTTCTTCAAAGTTAGTGGTAAAGGCAGTAAAGAAATACATTTACATTTATATTTACTAATGTAATCACAGGAATAACATCCTATCACCTTTGCCCCATTGTATTGGTTAAAAGCAAGTCACAGGATTCCCACCCATCCTCAAGGGAGGGGAATCACATGAAAGTGTGAATATCAAGAGGTGAAGAGGACCGTGTCACCCTAGGGTCTATCTACCACACTGTCAACGTGCAATACCCCTGGCATGTGTCGCAGAGCGCCCTCTTGTCTGTGTGGGTTACTAATTGTTACAGTGAAATTAGATTCCTCTTTCCAAAGAAGTCAGAGTTGTGAAATGCTTGGGAAACTATGAGCTGTTTCCCCATCCCTTACTGGTGTAGACAAAAATAACTGATACAGGGCTTTTATTTCCTGTGGGTTCACACTTAGTCTCGGAATGCTTTAAAAGACAACACACTAGACAGAAGCTAACATTTGGTCAGTGTCAGAAAGTGTTATAACACCTATTCACCATTCTTGAACTATATTATATCCCAGTGGGCTAGAAGTATGGGTTTGTCTAGCACCATTTTAAGCTTAGTAGAGAGAACTCATCTCAGCCTTGTCCCTGGGTCCCTTGAAGTACAAGTGTCCTTAGTAAGGACAATGACAATTCATGTGGAATTAATTAGTAGAAATTCCCACATATAAAATTTGTCCTTCACTCTATTTCTTAACAGGAAAAATCAAATCAAATACATTAACACCAATTAGATGACAACATAATCGAAAACAAATGTGTTTACCAAAAAAAAAAAAAAAAAAGTACAGATAGGTAACTAGGGAAATTGTTAACCCAACAAAGAGAGACTACATGAGTCTGAGTCCCTTGGGAAGGATAAACATGTTTGTAAATAAATTTATTTCTCTGTCAATATTTACTTTTCTTTGTGTTCCTCTCCATGTGCTGAGAATTTCCTTCTCAGGCCTTCATGATTCTATGAGTGAATTACTAGAAATGCTGTTAGTCTCATTATTTTTGTAAAAGAACACCTTGTGCCTGTTCTTGGGCTCAATTTAAGTTAGAGAAAAACAAAATTCATGCACATGAGAGAGTTCTTATAAGATGGAAGAGACATACTATTGATCTAAGACTTATTTGTTTTAATAGGGGTCCTTAGTCATGAATTATCAGTAAAAAGCATTTTATAGTAAGTGCAATTTTGGCAAGACCTTGTTTCTCTAGTTGCATAAGGAATCACTACATGATAAGAAACAAGAAAAGTTTACTGGCAGAAATAGAGAAAAGATATGTACATCTATTTTATCTACCTAAACATAAGTAGATAAAAATATGTGTAAATAGTTCCTTATGTCAGGAAACTGTGTCTGAATATCTTTCTATCCTTAAAGGCCCGGCACAGTGCTAAGTACATAGTACACAGTAAGCATATAGTAAATGTTTCCATATTTCAGGGACAGAGTTTGGACGCTAAAATGCCAATATTTGTTTGGCTATAGTGATTTAATCCAGGAAAATAGAAATTAGTTTCCATGCTGTCTCTGGAACTTCCACACCATTCTCCCAGCATTTTCATCTATTCACCAAACTAGAAGCTCTCCAAACCCCATGTTTTAAGGTTTTTAAGGAGGATCCATTACAAAGGCATGATTAATTAAATCATTGTCCACTGGTAATTGACTCAATCTCCTCCATCTTCATCTCCATCTCTGGAAGTCTGGGGGTAGGGTTTAAAGTTCCAACCCTCTAATCACATGGTTGGTTTCTTTGGCAGTCAGTCCCCATCCTGAAGCTATCTAGGGTCCATTAAGAGTTACCTTATTAGGATAAACTCAGATTATGGTTCAAAAGGGCTACTTATGAATAACAAAAGACACTCTCCTCCCTGTCACTCAGGAAATTTCAAAGGATTTTGAAGCTCTTGTGATAGAAACCAGGGACAAAGACCAAATATGTATTTCTTATTATATCACAATATCACAGGCTGTCGCTGTATCCAAATTTCCCCCTTCCTGTAAGGAAATTAAAATAAGGCCAACCCTCATCCAGTATGACCTTGTCGTAACTTGATTATACCTGCAAACATCCTATTTCCAAGTAAGGTCACATTTATAGGTACTGGGGGCTAGGACTTACACATGTCTTTTTGAAAGACACAATTCAACCCACAACAGTAACTAATTGACTTCCTTTCTCCTGAGCTACCCTGTGATTGAGGCAGAGCAATTTTCTCTAAGGACATAGCACTGCAAAGATAGAGCCTATAATCAAACATCCTAGTTGCTCTTTAGGAGCTCAACCTAGGTCTAGCCTGCTCAATTTAGTATAGTTCACTTCTACGAATAATACTGAACCCAAAGCAAGACTCTGACGAGGATCGAGAAAGCAGTGACACACCTAACCATGCTGTAAGGCAGAATAGAAGAGATATAACAGAGATCAAGTGTGTAATCTAGAAAAGGGACATATTGATTATGCTGAGGAGGTAGGCATGGGAGGCAGTAGCCATTTGAGAGGCAGAAGCAGCAGGAGCAAATGCATAGAGACAAGAAACTTCCATCTATTGAGTGACTGGTTCCACTTGGCTGAAGTATAAGGTAAGTTTGGAGGGACAGGGATGCCAGGGTGTGGAAACACAGGTTTTTGCTTATGAGTCTTCAATGTCTGAGAAAAAAAAAAAAGGCCGCATGGGATGTTCTTGTCTATTTTTGCTGTTAGGTGATAAATAGGCAGATATATCTAGGTATGTGTGTGCGTGTTGCCAAGGGATCTGTATTTATACAGATTTAGTGACAACATTTATTAACACAACGGGGTGATAGGCTTTGGCATCAGGATGTTGTAATAGTTGTAATTTGGCTTGTATCAACATCCCTATTTTTGCAGATGAGTAAACTGTGGCTTTGAACAATAAGGACCTCACCCAGGGTCGCCCAGCGCTGGTAAATGTTGGGTTTAGGAACTGAACCCAGGTCTAGCTGGTTCCAGAGCACACATTGGTGCTTTCCGTGGCGTGGCCTGTAGGTGACTTCTGAGGGAATTCAGCTCCTTGGTGCTGAGGGCTTAGCCATGATTCCTTTCAGAGTGAGTTCTCCATGTCTTCTTTGGCCAGGTTCCTGTGCTCAGGGGGATTTTCAAAGATAATGGTGTCCACTGGAGGGAAATATATCTTGGAGCAAAGATGTGCAAGGATGGTTCCAGATTCTCCATTCCTATTTATGAAAACTGGCAGATTTGCTGACTGTGAACATAGTGGCCAAAGGGCTGAATAGATATGAGCATTTGAGAGTAAAATGTGTTTTGGGAAGCTTTAAATTCTTATTTTTGAAATAAGATAATAAATGTCCAAATCAAATGGGAAATTAGTGACCAGGTTAAAAAATAAACTGAGGTTTTCCAACTCCAAGTTCAGTGTATTTTCTATTTTGTTAAAAAAGTAAAAGTAAATTGCAAAGAAGATACTTGGAGAGGAGGAACAAAGTAAGTAAGGCAAGGACATGATGGATACAGGGGGATTAACTGGGGAGGGAATGTCTGTAAAGTGTATAAATTTTGGGGTTGGGGGGGGTACAGCTAAAAGGAGCTGTCCTAAATCCTGGCAAAGGCCCTCCACTTTAATAAGCGTTGTAACTTTCTCTTTCATTGTTGGAGGTAACACGTATGAAAGGAAAGCAGCAATCAGAACAATGCAGTTTCCCAGAGGGCTCTTTAGCAGAAGTCTCCTGTGGTTCCATGCTGTTGTTAATGCTCCCCTTATTTTAGTCTCCTGGACTCCCTAAATGCTTTGGACCACTTGAGCAAGGCCACGTTGCTAATTGTGCAGAACCCCTTCAGAGGTGGCACCGCTGAGCAAGACCAGGCAACTCAGGCTCTAATGGGCCTTGATTGTGGTCTCTGGAGCAAAAACCACCTCTTGAAAGCTGCTGTGAGACAGCTATTGGGAGGTTTGGTAGGAAGATTTAGTGCTGCTCTTTGAAGGATCGATGTCTAAGCTCTTCAAAACCTCCTGACACCTCAGATGGATTCTAGGTGGTTCCCCAGTGGGCACAATCTCATTATCATCCACATACATTTATTTATCTCCTAATAGGGGCCCATCACTGTATTATGAGGGCCGCAAAGCCTAGCTATGGGGCTAAAACAAGCACACATGAAGCAATGAATGAGTATTAACTGCTGAGATGTATATTTCTGATGGCCTCTTCAAGGTGCAGAGAAAGAAGATCTCCTCCAAGAGAATTAAATGGTCAGAATTGGGGAGGTAAAAATTAGAATCTGAAGAAACTAAACATGCTTTAGAGAGACAGGTGGTTGGCATCAGAATGAATTCCTGGCAATAGGGAGCAACCTGCAGACAGGGAATAAGAATGTACACAGAATGGCCTGAGTAGAATAGAAAATGTGTGTCTCTTTTGATTATAACAAGGAAGAAGTCAAGTTTGTTTTTAGTTTGTCTGTAACACCCACTCATTCTTACCAATTTGCCTTATTTGCAAAGAGACAGCTGTGCCCAGGCCTTTAGAAAGGAACAGTATCTACCGTAATTTATTGGTATTTTATTTTCATTCTACAGATTGAGTATTCCTTATCTAAAATGCCTGGGACCAGAAGTGTTTCAGATTTTGGATTTTTTTGGGTCTGGGGATATTTACATGTACATAATAAAATATCTTGGAGATGGGACCCAAGTCTAAACATGAAATTCATTATGTGTCATATATACCTTATATACATAGCTGGAAGGTAATTTTATACAATATTTTAATTAATTCTGAATACCTGTCACATGAGGTCAGGTATGAAATTTTCCACTTGTGGCATCATGTCAGTGCTCAAAAAGTTTTGAATTTTGTAGCACTTTGGACTTCAGAGTTTCAAATTAAGGATGCTCAACCTGTATTTATTTTTACGGTTAACTTCTATAGGCAAGTGACACTGGTTTCAATGAAAATGTATGTAAATGAAAAGAAGTGAAGCAATTTAAGGAAAAAGACGAAATAATAATTCAGGTAGTATATAGATGGGGCAAAAATATGTGATATTGACGCACCATTGACCAAAGTTTGGGAAAAAGAGGAGTCATAGTAAAATGTTGATCCTTGTGTTGAAGTTTCTGATCCTCCTTGCACTACTCACCATAGATACTCCAGAAAAGTGGAAGAATGAGTCAATAAATAAATCATTCATGACTTTTCCAAAGGAAATAATCCAACTATCTGCTAATAAGTGTCAAAACTAGGGTAATGACAATGATAAAAAGGAATCAATCCAGGTGACACTTGAGAGTAAGAAATAACAAATAACAGATCAGAGTTAGGTCAATGTTTCTTAAACTTTAATATGCACACAAATCATCTGGGGATTTTATTAAAATGCAGATTCTGATTCACTAGGTCTGGGGTGGGGCCTGGGATTCTGCATTTCTAGCAAGCTCCCAGGGAATTCCAGTGCTGCTAGTCAGTGAACCACATGTTGAGTTGTAAAAGTTCTGGGTGGTATCAGAGAGGGGCAGAATCACAGTGAACTGTAAAGTTTTGTGCTACTTTAAAATTTTGTTGAAAATGCAATTTTAAATAAGAAATTAAAAACAAACTTCTACCCCTAAACATTCTAACTCGGAGGAAGTTCTTTTCCCTGTAAACTTTAGTAATGTCCTTCAATTCTATAATCTCTTGTTTTATTTCTGTAATTCATTTTTAGTTACGTTTTGTTCTTGATTCTCATAAGCATAAAGTCCCGATTGGCTCATAATAAACTCTGAGTAGACGAGGCCTGTGAAATACTCTAAAATCATGATTTCATTAACACGGGTTGTTTGCACTTGAGGATGAAGTTGCCCAATGTTACACTGTAATGGGCAAAACTGCTTTGCAAACTCAAGTTCTCTAATTCTGGATGCTTTTGTGTGATGACTTATTGCTATTCCCATGTCTCTATACCAATGACAAAACCTTTCAACCCTCTGAGTTTTTCCCCTAGCTCCTGGGACTATGGGTGGGAGAGTCTGAGGGTCATCTATTGATATTGAATGTGGCAGGAGTGAGATTCCTACTCCTCCCCTTCCCTTGCCCTTCTTTTCCAAGGGCATAAGAAGGAAAGCATGGAGTGTCAGCCAGGCTGCATGGAGCTGCCTACCAGCCAGAACCTGCTAATTCTTATTTTATGGAAGTACCTGTCATGTTTGGCCAAATCTCCTACAGAAGGATAAAGGAACCAACACAGAATTCAGCTCCCACACTCCCCTGCAGTTATAAAACTTACTTAGCTTTATTTAATTTTTAATTTTTTTTTTAAGTTTAGAAGCTTCAGTTGAGAACTGCAAATTAAGTTGCGTTCAATAGTCTTTTCCAGCTCATATGCTGCTGCTAGGTTGCAATTATTGCTCGACACCCTTCCTCAGTGTTTTGACATCTTCGCCAGCCTGAGAAACTAAAACACAATTATTTATTAATTTTAGGTGAGTTTTCTTCAATTTTAATAATTCCTATACTTTATTTACTTATTTGTTTGTTTGTTTGTTTCTTTATTTTGAGATGGAGTCTCACTCTGTCACCAGGTTGGAGTGCAGTGGCGCGATCTTGGCTCACTGCAACCTCCGCCTCCCGGGTTCAAGCGATTCTCCTGCCTCAGCCTCCCGAGTAGCTGGGATTACAGGCGCCCGCCACCACACCCAACTAATTTTTGTATTTTTAGTAGAGACGGAGTTTCACCACGTTGGCCAAGATGGTCTCCATCTCTGGACCTCGTGATCAACCCTCCTCGGCCTCCCAAAGTGCTGGGATTACAGGCATGAGCCACCGCGCCCGGCCACTTATTTTCTTATTTGCATGCTTTATACCTGCTATTACTTAGTTCCTGTGATGTTTCCCAGAAATATGGAATTAGCTGTGCCAGACACTATGGCCAGAAGACTCAACAGTCACATAGCGTTATGATGGTTAAATGCTAGGATTGAATGTTAAATAAATTTTAAAGTAAATTTTAAGTGGCTGCATAATAATTTATTGTGTATTCACTAATAATAAATCCTAAGAATCTAATATCCCAAGATAAATGAGCCCAAGAATTTATTCAGACTATATTCTGTAATATTCTGTGTGAACAAAGGGAATAATTGGATAGTTTGAGGGGTACCATGATTTCTTACATGTTGTACAACTTAAATATTCTAAGTGTATCTTAGATCACATGCTACAAATTTCTATTATCACTATTAATAGCTATCAGATATTGAACTCTATTAAGCATCATGTACTTTAGTCAATATTTGAAACCACTCATTGAGGTGGATACTATTATCTCCACTTTTTAGGTGAGGAACCTAAGAGTCAAAAACAGAGGTTAAGAGCAGGTGTGGTGCCTTGCCCCTATAATCCCAGCACTTTTAGAGGCTGAGGCAGGCAGATCGCTTGAGGCCAGGAGTTCAAGACCAGCTTGGGCAACATAGTGAGACCCTTGTCTCTACAAAAAATAAAAATACAAAATTAGCTGAGTGTGGTAGTGCACACCTGTAGTCCCACCTACTTGGGAGGCTGAGACAGAAGGATTGCTTGAGCCAAGGGTTTGAGGCTACAGGGAGCTATGATCATGCCACTACACGCTAGCCTGGGTGACAGAGTGAAACCCTGTCTCTAAAAAAAAAGAATAAAAAATAGAGGTTAAATAACTCATGGGTAATGAGTGGCCAAGCTTAGATTTTAACTTTTTAATTCTACCATCCATGTTCTCAACCATTACACTACACCCATTTAATATTATCAGTAGATTTATCTGTATCTATCCTGAAGGTATTTATTTTCAACCTATATACTTCCTGCATAATGTGATTTATAATCAATATTTTTATTCCACCCCTAATGGGTATAATGCACTATGCTCAGTTCTGTTGAGAAATGCACAGAAGTAAAAGCCATGGTGCTTGTTTAAGAGCTTTTTACAATCTTGTTAGGGGTGTGGTGTGTACATATATACAAAGTTTAGTTTAGTAGAAGGCCTCAGCATCTATACAAGTTAGTAGGATAAAAGCTATCCCATACTCAGAAAAAAATTTCAAATTAGTATCATGGTTAAGAGCAACTTGTCTAACCTGTGGCCCATAGGGCACATGTGGCCCAGGATGGCTTTGAATGTGGCCCAACACAAATTCATAAACTCCTTAAAACATCGAGGTTTTTGTATTGTTTTGTTTTTTGCCCATCAACTATCATTACTGTTAGTATATTTTATGTGTGGCCTAAGATAATTCTTCTTCCGATGTGACCCAGGGAAGCCAAAAGATTGGACACCCCTGGAATTTTACAGGAATGAGGTGCCATTGTGAGATAGGGTGGCCTGACATATTCTGCTAGGTCAATAAGTATCTCTGATGTGGAAAATAACTAATTGTGGGTTATATCATAAACTATTCTCTTTTTAATTTGAAGACATGTTCCTTTCTTTAGGTATTTCTCAATTTGTTAAACAAGGCCATGTTTGATATCTGTATTTTAAAATACTCTACTCCCCTTTTATCCAAGATTTCACTTTCCTCAGTTTCAGTTATCTGAGGTAATTCCTGTATGAAACTATTAAATGGAACATTCCAGAAATAAACAACTTATAAGTTTTAAATTGCATCTCCTTCTGAGTAGCAGGATGAAATCTTGTGCCATCCTACTCTGTCCTACCCAGGGTATGAATTACTTTTTGTCCAGCTGGCCAGTTATTAGATTGTGTTAACCTTTGGGGATTCACCAAGAACCAATGTTATATATGATCCAAGAGTCCACTTCAGTCACACACTCACACCCAGAATGCCAGAACTTGCAAGCCACTGTGTAAAATATAGTCTGGAAATTATTTTATGGAACATAGTTATATGGCATTATATGAACAGTTCTTCAAGCATGTATACATATAATGATAGCTATATTATTAAACTGTGCCAATTGCCTGCCCTACCCTTTCCACATTTTAACTCTGATTCCTAAACTGTTAGTAAATTCAGAATTCTGAGTAGTGTTGTGCAATTTCAAAGGACCTGCCCTTTCATCATACTGTTCTGTCTCTGATTAAATACCTTCTTTGTGTAGATCCTTATATAACATAGAGACAGATATAATCCTTCTAAATGGTCTCGTAATTTTGTATAAACCCGAGCAGATAATAGTATTGGGGGATATAGGATTTAGAGAAATTTATTCTGATAACTATGAGAAGAAATTTATAGGTCAGTGTGGCATTATATTAATCCTTTTTCATCTTATCACACATTTGGCTCAGAATATAAAATGTGTACAGACATGAGATCTGTACATTAGGTAGTTATTTATTTTTCTTTGAATAATTCCTTTCTAAAACAAAATGTTGGTCAGCAGAGGTGGTAAAAATGCTAGATTGTTGGTCTTGTTTGCTAGGATTCATGACCTGTTTCATAAAGGACTTTGCTAGGATTTGTGACATGCTCCATGAAGGACTTAACTTGATCAGACACATTAAACTTCGGAACTGAAAGAAATATCTGAGCTTGTTCAACCCAGAGGTTCTCAAACTTCAGTGTACATCAGAGACCAACTGGAGAGTGTATTATAATATAGTTTGCTGGGTCCCATCCTAAGAGTTTCTGATTCAGTAGGTTGGGGTAGGGAATAAGAATGCATTTTTAGCATGTTGTCAGATGATGCTGATGTTGCTGGTCTCAGAGCCCTACTTTGAAAACCACTGGTCTATTGTAAGGCTTTCTTTTTACCTATGAGAAAACTGAGGACATGAGGGAGGCCATTCATGTACATATATTATTCAAATCCTGTTCCTTTCCATCCAAAAGCCCTCATGTGGTATCCTGTTGAAGTTTGAATAAAATCCCAAATCCTTATTATCTAGAAGATCTTGCATGCCTGTTCTCTGCCCATCCTTCCATATCAGAGTCTCCATAGAGCCTTACTTACTTTCACTGCAGTTATTCAATGGACACATTCTTATTTCAGCATGAAAAACAACTAATATGGGCACATGGCACAGAACAAAAGTGAAGGTTTGACTTACAGAGAATTTCAATTCCATTTTTCAATTCCTGCCATTTTCTTGGGGGCTCCAAATACAGCTAATATAAGTCGCATGCTGAGTGACTTGTCAGTCTATATTCCCATGTGGTGGGTCCATCTTGATTCCTCTGTTTTATCTATCAGAGAGTTTGATCCTCATTATAATAATAGCTATTCATAACATGTATTCATCAGCCATGTACTAGCTACTGTGTCAAACAGTACTGAGATTTAGATGCTGACTTCTGAGGCTAGACTCTTTATTCTTAGAAAATAAACAACACTGCCCCTCTATTATATACTGAAATAATAGTGATGTTTGTCTAAACAACCCTAGCTGGTCAAACAATGGCAACCCCTTCCCCTGGCTGCTGTTTTACTCACCATTTAACAAAAAATTAGGTGGTGCCTTTGGAGGAAGAGAAGGGAGATTTAGGCGGAAGGATTTTTTTTTAAAAATTTATTTTTGAGACAGAGTCTCGTTCTGTCACCCAGGCTGGAGTGCAGTGGCACCATCTCAGCTCACTGCAACCTTTGCTTCCTGGGTTCAAGTGATCCTCTCACCTTAGCATCCCAAGTAACTGGAACTATAGGTGCATGCCACCACTCCGGACTAATTTTTGTAGTTTTAGTAGAGACAGGGTTTTGCCATGTTGTACAGGCTGATCTCAAACCCCTAGCCTCAAGTGATCCGCCCACCTCAGCCTCCCAAAGTGCTGGGATTACAGGCATGAGCCACCACACCCAGCTGAGGTTGAAGGGATTCTTACAAAGACATGTGAAGAGAATAAATTGAAAATAAATATGATTACATTAAAACTAAGCTCAGTACTTTAAGATGTCATGTTCTCTGACTTGATAACTGAAGAATTTGTGTGAGTCATGAGAAGAAGGTAATTTGTTGTACTTTATATTTTCAGCTATCCTTGAGAATGGTTTCTGCTTCTTACATTCTCAATGATAGACAAGTCTGACACATGGAGTTTACTTTAAACGGTTAGGCAATCCCATGGGTTGTGGCCCATAGGGTGATAACAATAGAATTTCCTTTTGTCTGACCTTAAAAAAGGATATCAGATAAATACTGCTTCCTTGGTGCAGTTAATTTTAGGCCAAAATACAATTATTGGTCAGATGCACAAATTATCTCTTTATTTCTTAAGGATTAGAAAAAATTTTGAGGAATCCTACTTTCTTCCTAAAGCAGATCTGAAATAGAAATAATTTTATACAAGCTAATTTTTCCAGGGTTTTTGTTTGTTTCTTCTTAAAAAACTATTTTACCAGAAAATATGAATACGTTCTGAAACTTTACCATAAAAAATTCTCATTTCTTCCCTTCTTTTCCTTTTCTTTTCTCTTTTCTTTTCTTTCTTTCTTTCTTTCTTTCTTTCTTTCTTTCTTTCTTTCTTTCTTTCTCTCTCTCTTTCTTTCTTTCCTTCTTTCTCTTTCTTTCTTTCTTTCTTTCTTTCTTTCTTTCTTTCTTTCTTTCTTTCTTTCTTTCTTTCTTTTCCTTCTTTCTTTTTTCTACCTCTTCTTATTTTCTCTCATTCAAGCATTAATGACCTATCAATTCTACAGATAGTTAATTCACACTTACAATGTGCCTGTCATATTTATTTTAAATATTGAAACTCACTAGAACCAAAGTCCAAATATGGATGCTCTGTCGTGGTGAGTCCACTTGTTACAAGGACCCTGGAAAATGAAATCAACTTGGATAGAAACCAACATAGACCCAATTTTATATCATTAAACCATCTTCTATTCTAAAGAACAACTGTATGTGTATTACATATAGGCTTCTAATAGAATTTCTGATGGACATATCAGCAAATTTAATTCGGTATTTTAAAAAATACATCCTAAACAAAAACAGATTTTTCTCAGGAGTGTGAGAATGATACAGCATCAGATAATAAATTTAATATAAATAATGATATTAAAGATAAAGGAACAGAAGCAAAATCATTTCAAAAATGTAGAAACATTTAATATAGTCAGCATATTTATTAAAAGTAATCTGAACAAGCTTAGATTGGAGTAGGACATTTTTACCTCAAAAACAAGAAGCTACCAAGAAACTACAGCAAACATATATTTACATTAGTAACAAAGCAAGAATGAATACTATCATTGTTTCTATTGATTATTGAAGTGAAAAAACTAGCCAATGGAGTAAGACAAAACAAAAAACAAAAAAACAGAAGCAAAAAGATTGGAGAGGAATCTACAGTACTTTTATTTGCAGAAAGTCCATAAGGGTTTATTGGCAGACTATTAGAATTAAAAATAATTTCCACAAGTTTGTTGGGTACAAGGTAAACATATAAATCTAATTATCCTCTCCCTACAATTATAATTACCAATTAAAATGTAGAACTGAAAAAAAATTCATATACAATAGTGACAAAAATGTAAGGAAGCTAAGAATAATCGAATAAAAGATTCAAGACCATTAGGGGAAAAATGACAAAATATTATTGAAGATTATAAAGTCCTGAATAAGTCATCAACATTGACCATATTTATGTATGGGTAGACTCAATAACATGAAGATGCCAATTTTTTCTAAATTCTTCTATAAATCCACACATTTCCACTCAAAACTCCAACAGAACTGTTCATGGAATTTGACAAGCTAACTCTAAAACTCATGTATGATCACGGGGCCAAAAATAGCCAAGACAACTCTTGGGGGTGGGGAAAAACCCAAGAGAAAAGACTTGCCCAACTAGACATCAAGGCATGTTTTATCCCCAAATTAATTAAGACAGTGGGACATCGACACAAAATAGGCACACCAGCCTGTGGGACACAATAGAGCTCAGTAACTGTTCCTTACAGTATGGAAAATTGATCCTTGACCAGGTAGACATTGAAAATCATTAGTTAATAAACAAACTAGTCAACCTATGATGCTGGAATAATTTCTTATCTATATGGGAAAAAATGAAATTAGACTTCATTTTATATCACCCATGAAAATAAATTAAGGATATATAAAAATTTAAATGTAAAATGCGAAACTTTAAAATTTTTATAAGAAAATAATGGTGATTAGCTTTACGACCTATGTATGGGAAAGATTTCTTAAAAGAAGGGAAAAAAGCATAGATCATTAAAAAAATATTGATATATTTGATTACAATTATTTTTAAAACTTATGTTCCAGAAAGATATGATAAATTAAAAGACGAGCTACAGACTTGGAGAAAACATTGGCAATGCACCCAGCACACAAAGGATTGGTATTCTAAATTGTATAATGACCCCCTACATGTGATCAAGAGAAAGAAAAATAACCCAATGAAAAATGAGCAAAGGATATGAATAAGCAAATGACAGATGCCAAAACCAAAATGGATAGTTAACATATAACACATAAAAGCATGTATAGCCACACTAGAACCTTGAGAATACAAATTCAAAAAGCATTGAGATATTACTTCAAACCACCAGAGTAGCAAAAATGTACCATTCTGACAGTATTAAGTGTTGGCAGGGAGGAGAACTAAGAGCTCTCATATCTTAAAGAGTGGGAATGTGAATTGAGGCAGCCACTTTGAAATACAATTTAGCATTGAAGCTACACATGACATTTGGCCTCACAATTGCATATTTATGTAAACACTTAAGGGAAACTCTCAGGCAATTTACATTGAGCTAGTTATTAGAATGTACACTGCTTGTTATGTGAAAAAAAATCTAAATCAGAAGAGTGCATCAATAAATTGTGGTATCTCTATATAATATAATAACATCCAATACTGGAGCAGAACAAATGAGAGCTACATGCAACATTAGTGAACCTCACAGTCATACTCTTGAGTGAAAAAAGCAAATTACTGAATATGCAAACTGATACTATTTAGATAAAGCTTGTAAACATTTAAAATAATCCAAAATATTTCATGTGTAGTTTCATATATATTAATAATATAAAAACATGCATGGACATGACGAATGTCCCTTTTAGAAAGAAGAAAGTGGGACTGTTACAAGAATATTGACCTATGCCTGTAATATTTTATTTCTTCAAAAAGAATCTGAAACAAATATACCAGAATGTTAGGAATTAATAAAAACCAGGTTACAGGTATGTAGATATTTATTATATTATTATTTCTACTTGTTCGAATGTTTGAAGTACTTCAAAATTAAATAAAGAACCAGCCTCACTGAGATGTGTGTGCTGAGTGCTCTACTAGGTTTATTCACAAAGTTCTTACACTCCCTGCTCTCAATGGGACTGATGAAAATGTATGACTCAACCAAATTATATATGACCGCATAGCATGACATTCAGCCTCATTGAGAAAATGTCAAAATTGTGAATGTTAAATTCTAAAATATCAAGGCTCAACTGTAGACATACAAAACCAACTAGGGACATAAAGAATAAAAATGAAAACAAAATAAAAGCTGTTTAATAATAGAATTCAGAACAATATATAATCTCTTCTTCCCTGCTAAAATCAGGCCAGAGATTGGCATTTGCCTTCCTGAAGGCAATAGTTAGCAGGAAAAACCACACAGGTTCATATAATACAAACCAAAACAAAACAACCTTCTCACACGAAGAGAAAAGAATACTTTGCAAAATGGCTGCTGCATCTTCCCAAATACATATTTCACCTCCCCAAACAGATTTTCCATCCTTGACCTTCTCGTTGGAAACCTCTCCTTAAGCAGTTACACACAGCTCTGCAAATGTTAGAGTGACATTTGGACTGGGCTTGCGTACTCAGCTTGCCCGCTCTTCTGGGCTTCCCCGGGGGTCTGCCAAGCTCCAGCACATTGGTATTAGCCTTGCAGGCCTCACCTCCCAGAGCTAGCAATAACATTTACCAGCTACAGTTTTCTCCATTTTCAAATATTTCCTCTGGCCCACATGCCAGTGATCCAGCTCCTCCATAGAGTAGAACCTGAAAGGAGTGGTTTAAAGAAAGGAGAGCCCTCCTGTAAGAACTTTTAACATTTACCTTTCATTAAAGATTTTACTTGTGGTTTAATCGAGCTCTCCCACTAGAATTCTGGTATGTTTGGGAAAAATTAATTACTAAAATCTTACATCTCTGGGAGGCGGGGTACATCTTTGATCATTCTTTTGTCAGTGAAAACTCTGAAAAACAACGCCTCTGGTTGGAAAGGAATCAAATCTGAGCTTTTGCCGAAAGCTTTTTGCAATCCCAAGAAATCTGGATTGACCAGGAAATTCTAAATCATAACTGTAGAAACAGTTTCACAGCCTTGCTATGCCTAATATGTGACAGGGACTGGGTCTAAGGACCTTCATAAAGTCAGGTGCGTTGTCTCTCTCATTTGTTGTATCCCCAGTGCCTGAATGAATGGATGAGGAATGAGTTGAATAGTCTCCCAAAAGCTAATGAGTCATGAGCTAATATTATCCTTATTTCACCAATGAGAAACCTGAGACTCAACTGAGAGATCAAGTGACTTGTCCAGTCACAGAGCTAATAAGTGGCAGGCCTCATATAGAGGCTGAGAACTTCATTGTGCTGGTGTAATCTGTACTAGTAGAGATACATATGTGTTCAAATGTCATGATAAGCACTGGCAAGGAGAGGTAAACATGAATAAGAACACAGTTGAGTTTCAACTCATAAATGTAGGAGGAAACAGGAAAAGAGAGGATCACCAGTAGACAAACACCACATTAATAAATATTGCAAGCAAGATCACTGATGGATGCTAAAATTAGTGGATAAAAGTTTGAGGAGAATAATATTTGCATAGGCTCAAAGTATTTTCTCTAATACATGTATCAACTACAAAGGAAAATACAATCATTTAGAAGTAGAGAGACCTGGAACTTGGAAGATCCTGACTTTATCAAATAAGCAGGAAATTATCACCAGGAACAAGGCATGGGAATATCATGAACCCCTTGATAGAATGCACTGAAAAGGACACAATATCATTTTTATGGTGTTCTTGCCAAAAACATGTAACTTCTCTCCAATCCTGAAAAAACACTGGACAAAACCAAAATGAGGATCTTTGATACAATATCTGACTAGTTCTCTTTAAAAAGACATGAAAGACAACAAAAGACTGAGGAACTATTGTAGACTGGAAGGGAGCATGGCAAAATAATAGCTATTGTGATGTAGGATCCTAGAACAGAAAGGAAGAGAAAAACATATTAATGGGAAAATAGTAAAATTTGAATAAGGCCTGAAGTTTAAAATATTGAATCAATGTATATTTGCTATGATTGATAATCATACCATGGTAATGTAAGAGGTTATTAGCATTAGGGGGAGTAAGGTGAGGGGTATAAGAAACTCAGTATAATTTTTATAACTTTTCTATAAGTATGTAAGTTTGAAATAAAAAAGTTTAAAACAATTAAAAAATGAGCAGAAAATACATTTGTCCTTCCAGTTTGCTTACAGAATTGAGAGAGTCAAATATGTAAACTAAACTAAAGTACACACAAAAAACAGTCCTGTAGGCACCGCCGATAATAAATGTATGTACCAGATAGAAGGCCATGGAAAAGGGTGGTCATCTTACCTGGGAAGAGAGCACAGGTAGCACTCAGGATAGGCTTCATAGAGAAGACGATGCTCAAAGATTTCTTATTTATCCACCATCTGTTTTATAGAGCATCTACTATGGACCAGGCACTCTTCTAGAACATAGCTACATCATGGTAAACAAAAAAGAAAAGGTATCTGCATTCTTGGAGCTTACAGCCTAGAAGAAGTCAGATAACACATGAGAAAAAAAAAAAAAAAAACAACACCAAACAAAATTAATTAGATATTTTCGGTGTTGTCATGAAAAATAAATGAGCTGATGTGATAGAATATGCTCAGGGAGATAGGGGAATTGGGGAATACCTTTCTGAGAAGATGATAGTTAAGCTATTTGGGCTAGGGCCTGAATGGGAAAGAGCCAGCCGTGCAAAATGAACAAGGAGCAGGTAATTCCATACCAAGGAAACAGGGTGGCTGAATGCCCAAATGCAAGAACAAATTAGTATGTTTGTGTTTAAGGAAACAAAAGTAAGCCAGCATGCTGGGCTGTAATGGACAAGGAGGCAATAGTAGATGATGAGCTGTAAAGTAAGGTCACCAGGTGGCTCTAAGTCCAAACTGGCACACTTTTGAGTAAAAGGTGGTGCTATTAATAATTACACCAGGACAACAGAAGTGAAATGAGACTGTCTGGCCAAACCTGGACATAAGATCATCCTTTAGCAAGGAAAGAAATCACGTAGGACTTGGTGAGCCAGCCAAGGAGTATGAAGTTATTCCCAGTGCATTAGGAAGCATGGGAAGTTATAACAAGGGTAGGAGGTGATTGTTCTGGCTGCCATGTGGAGAACCCACTATTGAGAGCAAAGAATGAATGTAGGGGGGATCATTAGGAGATGATTTCGGAAGTCTAGTTAGTAGACAGAGGATGGGGGCTTTGACTACAGGAGTAGACTTGGGAGAGGAGAGAACTGGATGACAGTAGAGTCAATGAGCCTTGCGTGTTCTCAGAAGATAGACTGAGAACATTTTAGACAAAAGGAGCAGCCTGAGCAAAGTCACAGGGGCAGGGCACGTTCCAGGAGCCAAGAGTGTATTCTATGGCCAAAGTGAAAGGAACAGCAGGGGCAGGCCATTGGCCTGGAGATAAGACCAGGGGCTCAGATCATATGCGATTTAGAATTCAAGGCTAAGTAGTAAGAACTATGGTGCCATTGAAAGTGATATGATTAGATTGGTTTTAGAAATATGAGTCTAGTCCAACTATAAGAGAAAAAGATAAAATGAACAGAAAAATACAGTGAAAACAGAGATAGCTTTTGCTAGTTAGAGAAATAAACAAGAAGACATTTTGAGGATGGTACAATAATGTGGGAGATATTTTTATTTTTACTGGAAATTGTCCACCCATTCATCAGACACACACTTGATCATCTAGTGTTTTGCAATATAATTAGTTGTTGACTCAAGGACTGCTGAACAGTGTCACTGAGTCATAAAGACGGCTCCAAGAGGAAAACTTTGGGCACAAATTAATGCTATGTACCCTCTACTTTCTATCTTCTGCTGCAGCGCTATTCTTGGCCCACTCATTTCTAAGTTTTAGCAATATTTCTCAGGCTGGTGTGCCTCACATGCAATTCTGGCAAGCTAAACATGGTGACGGAGCCAGATAACTTGTTCCCTGTAGACTCATAAACTCATCAGCTGTGGGCTGGTAATATAATTTACAATATACTTTGCCAGCCCTATAAAACAGCTTTTTTCTTGCAGAGAAATGGAGCCCTGACAAGAAGTGTTTATGACTTAATTTTAGCTGTGTTCTTCGTTGTTGCTGCAGTAGTAGCCTGCGTATGATGCATCCTAGTCATCCGCCAGGCAGTTACAACTTTGTTGTTGTTGTTTTTGGCAAGCTAAGGACAACATTAGACTTTGCTTAATACCTACCCCACAATCCTATTTCAATGGTGGCCATAGCATGTACCTCCATGTTTATGAATAAATGAATCGAGACACAGTTGTTGGATACCTCACAGCCGTGGCTTATACCTTGATGAAACTATATGATACCATATCCTTCTAGATAAAGTTCCTGTAAAATGATATTGTTAGAAGGCTTGAGTGGAAAAATCTGAAATATGCTGTTTACAGTCAAAATGATTATCCTCCTGCTGACTAGTTGTTCTTTATTCTTCTCCACAGTGTACTACAATAACTATTTACCATTCATATTTCAGGCTAATAAGGTTACTTCTATTCAGCCATTACATAATGTGACTGTAGCTAAAATTAAAGCTCCACAAGGTAGGAAATTTGTTTTATTCATTGCTAGATCCTCAAGGTCTGGAACAATGCCTGGAACAATAGTATGTACTCAGAAACTACATGTTGAATAAATAAGCTCAACTATTGACATATTAAATCTACCCTAATGATTTGGGAACTAATACTACAAATAGTGTAGTCATCTTCCAAGAAGAGCATATTCTCCTGAGGTTGGCCAGAGGGTTGATGAATTGATGTATCAGCCCTGATACATTATATAGCATCCAACAGTCATTCCAATAACATGCTAAGATCTGCAAAACTGTAACTGCATATTTGAATTCAAATCCAGGGACAGTTTTTTAACCTAGGTAACTCTAGATTCTACTGTACACAAAGTTAGAGTTGTGAGATTTCTCTTTATTAATTCTCTTTTTTCTCTTAGCCACATCCACTAAAAAAGGTACTTTTATTTCATGTCCTGTATGAGTTGTATGTAACGTCTGGCTCTGTCACCATTCCTTTGTGTTCTCATTCCATAGCTAACTTTCCTTAAGAAGTGTTGTAATAGCATATATTTCAGTGTTCACAAAAAAACACAAAAGCAATGTTCTGACTAGGTGACTCAATAGATTTTATGTGTTTTATATATACTTATGTATATGTACACATATGTATTTAATCATCTGTTTCACAACATTGTTGATTTTGTTTTTCCTGATTTTGGAAGCAGGATTCCAAATAAGGACAGTAAAAAGCAAACTTTTTCATATCTCTGTAAGAAGGGAAATCAAGGCTTTAAAATATTACCTCAGTTTCCTCAGGTATGAAATAAAAGGTATGAATGCAGGTAAATTTCAACTTTCTTTCTAACTCTAAATTTCTATGCAATTCAGAGACAGTAATATGACAACTTCTATGGTTCTTTTTCGATAAAGTGACAAGAAACTGATTTTACTTTAATCAGTTTATCAGACTTCTTAAATTTTCTTTGTTGGCTTGACTTTTCTAGGAAATTCATCCTATATCTTAGACAACATAATTTTGGTTCACGTTGTATTTGTGACCCAGTTTGTCCTTGTAAGTTGTATGTATAGAATTGAGGTTTGTTGAACTGGCACATTGTGAAACAACTGCCAGGAAGAAAGTATATTTTCTTCTGCCACCCTAAAGGATTTATCTCTCTGATCTGGCCTCAGATAATATGGAAGCACCCACATTCTAGTGAGTACAACTGTGTGTGGAGCAGTTCAGTTATCTAGCCCTTCAACATAGTCATTTGGAAATCAAAAGCGTTAACCACTAGATTAGATAAGACAACAAAATCAAGAGTTCAGTTGACCATTAATCATTTTTCCAAAATCAGCTCAATGACGTTGTGTAATAATATTTAGAATAAAGCAAAGGTAATAGGTATAAAAATCCATTCATTTACAGATCTATACCCACAGTCAAACATCCTTCTTGATGGTTCAGAGCTAAAGCCTTTATTCAAATTTTACTAACCAGTTATTGTCAATGATAATGAGAGAGTAAATGTATTCTCTGGAATACTGAGAAAAAGAATATGGCAGAGTGAGGCAGCAAGCTTTGAGCAAAACAAGCAAGAATATCTACAGAACAGTGCTGTTCAAGATGAAAAGCATAACTGGACCATGATATCAGGCTCAATCACTAAACATAGCCTGCCCATGACTGTTATGAGCCATTCTTACCCTCAAAGAAATATAAAAGATTTAACTTTGGATTTTTGAATGCAATCTCTACCATGATTGTGAAAGTAGATCCATTGTGTAGGGAGTTTGAGAACAGAAGAAAGCAGAACGTCGCCCTTATTTCTCTATTTAATCAAAGTAGACTTCATAATGATAAGGAAGACTAACAAAGAATTGTAATTAACCCTTTACAATTATGTTCCACTTTACAGTTTGAATTGCAGAGCCCTTTCAAACATATTTTCTTATGCAGTTTTTAAATATGGTTCAAGATTTACGTAAGGGAAAAGTAAGGTCCCACGGTTGCATGCCCGTGAGTAGTGGAGCTGGGACCTCCTAACACCAAGGCTCTTTCTACTGACCAGTGCTACCTGCAACATGGAAGTATCCTCTCATGGAAGCAATGGGCCACCTCTAGACCTCAAGGAAATTCAAACACATATGTACATGCATATATATACAACATGTACTGAGCATGGTATTATCAGGCATGGCTTGGATATTTTCACATTCATACTTCAGTGTTTTCCTTTGTGCTGGATACATTTTCCTTGCAACTCTGGATCCATTTCCAATCTTTCTCCACCCTTCTTCATTCAGTTTTGCACCTTGGAATGTGATTCTATGTGGATTGCCCTGACAGCTCCCTTGTCTTCTGTATTTCAGTTGAGTTTGTCCTGTGAAAAATACTCATGGAAGATGAAAGGAAAGGATGAGAATGAGATCTGGGTATTTAATTTCCTGGCTCTTGGAAAGGCTTGTCTGTTGACCTCAAGGTCTCCACTCACTTTATCTCTTTCCCTTCCTCTGCACTCTAGCAATTGGCCCTCCCCTAGACCCATTAGGGAAAGTAAAAGGGTCTGCTCTTAATAGACCTGAATACTGCATTACCCCTAGAGGGCCCACTATCTCTTACCTATACCTTTTAAATCTTACCTTTATTAAACTTTCATCAAATGGCACAATTCAAATGGGCCATCTGTTTTTTAATGGTTTCCTGACTGATTCGGTATTATTATTACACTTGGGAAACTGAGTCCCAACAAGGTTTTACCATGAAATAACTTGCAGACCTGGAATTCCACCCAGATCTTCTAACTCCAAGCTTATATGCTTACAGAGACAGCACACCAAGCAATGATTCTGAATGGGAGGCTGACCCATATGTGTAATCACAGCTCTGCACAATAGAGCTTTCTTGAATTGACTCAGAGCAATTCTCAGAAACATACCACTGTCATTTATAATGGTTTATTTTGAAATTTTATAACATGTTTGCACAATAAAGCAATGGCAAAAGTATCTGGAAGAAAATTGAATAAGATTACATCTAGTCTTTCACTACACCACTTGGTCTTCCCTGAATCACCGGAGTTAGTCTAAAAAGCAAGTCTGATCATGTCACTTTCTATCTAAAAATGCTTTCTATTGACTAATATCTAAACTTCCTAACTGTGCTTTTTAGAGTCATCTATGTGTTCCCCCATCTCAAATTTTACCATTTCTTTCCATATGCTCTAGTTAAGGGGTTCTCAACTGGGGGTGACTTTTCCCCCTAAAGGGCATTTGGAAATGTCTGGAGATGCTTTCGGTTGTCACGACCAAAGGGAGTGCCACAGATATCTAGTGGGTGGAGGCCAGGGATACCGCTAGATATCCCACAATACACAGGATAGCCTTTGCAACCAAGAGTTATCTGGTCAGAATATCAGCAGTGTCGCTCTTGACAAACTCTAATATACTCCAGCCACACCAAATTCCTCCTGAACCTTGAATTTTCTGCATGGTATTAGATTGGTGCAAAAGTAATTGTGGTTTTTGCAATTAAAAGCAATGGCAAAAACTGCAATTACCTTTGCACCCGCCTAATAACTATCATTCACCAGATTCTGTGCTTAATAAATGATTTCATTTCATGCACTTGTGAAAGCTGTGCTTCTACATATGCTGTTTCCTCAGCCAGAGTGCCTTCCCACTCTTCTCTTTGCTCTTTACTCTTATATTCTTGAAACATGGTTTACAGGTCTCCTTCTTCTTAATTCTCATCTATACCTTTGTATAGATGCCTAAGCTGAATTCTCACATTTTCTTTATTATTCAAGTATAACAGTTTACCTGTTTGAGTCTACAACACCCACTTGCTATATTCTGTACTAATGACAGAGAACATGCTATTTGTGCTTTCCCCCAATTTCAGCACAGTGTCTGTCACATATTAGATATTAGTCATTGAATGAGAGAACAAATATTATTGCAAGCAGTTGATAGAGTTCTGAAGAATTGTGTTATGTTTAATTTGTATAAATTAAGTCATATTTTAAAATTCAGTGGTAAAAATTGCTATTTAAGAAAAGTCTCTATAAACTTTTTGGTAAATTGAAATTCTATTAGAAGGTATACATTTATAAACCAGAGTTTCTCTATTCCATTTTTTTCTCTTTTGAATATTAAAAATATGAAAGAGTACATGCCTGCTTTTCTTAAAGTGATAAATATCAATCCAAATTGTTGTCATCCCTTTAGAGTGCTCTAGATTTTGGGGAATGAGAAGCCAATATGACCATATGTAATGGCAGGACTCCGTTGAGAATGTGAAGTTAGTTTTCAACCTTGTCCACAAGAGGGAGGACATCACCCCACATCCATTTTGTTGATTCCCTGGAACCGTTGGGTCTGTTTGGAGCTGGAGATTTATGTTGCTCCTGCTGTTGCAAAATACAGATTTAGAACCTGGCAGGCATTCTTGCATAGATTTGCATGCAGTTTAAGATCAGCCCAGTTTGGGTGGAGGGAAAGCAATCTGGGCATTTTAGAAGCTTTGTCAGAATAAAACACACTTAAGCAGTGTGTGATGCCAGTTGCTGCATGAATGAGCAGGAGAGTGTCTTGAAGGTACAGAAAGAGAAAAGGGTGAGGGATGTGATAATTTGGTGGTAATTTGCTTACAAGGTTGACCAGGAGAGTGTCTTCTTTTCACAGGAGATGGCTTAAGGGCTGGTGGGAGTATAGTGCTAGGAATGAACGTCAGCTTGATATGCTAAGAGCAAAATGAGAGCAGCAAAGTCCACTTTGTGAAGTTATGGAGCTAATTGCTCATAATACTGTATCAGTGCCAGTGGGCCTCCAGCATTCACTAGCAATATCACATGAATTGCATACTCTAGTACTTTTGTTTACTTCTTTCCTTTTACTACCTGCCAGTCTGGCTTTGTCTTTCTAGACTCTAGAAGATGTAAATGGTATCACTTCCTTGCAGGTGTAGCCAAGAAGATCCTGGTTATCATTCTCTTCCTACAGTCCATTTTCCTTATAGTTTTTACTTTTCTTTTTGATTAGGACCTTATCACACCTAAAACAACATATGCACTGGTAAGATTGAAGACTTTGAGCTCTAAGTTTTAGTTATTTTCTATCTCTTTGGATGTTCAGATATACTAATTTGATTAAAGAAAGGAAAGTGGGAAAATGGTAGAAAGGAAGAACAGCTGCCTGCTAGGGGTTTTCTCTTTCAAGTTAAACAAAAATGAACATGCAAACCAAATAATCATTATCCCAAAGTAAGAAAAGGGGTACAACCCAATGTCATAAGTCTCAAAAATTAGGAGCAAGACAGAATTCTGAAGCCAACCCAGGAGGAATGGTCAAGCATGATGAGCCTGCTAGCCCCACCTATGTTCCTAAAGTACAGTACTATCCACTTGGTAAAAATGCTGAGAATTATTACTAATATCCTTATATATGAAAAGAAACTTAGTACATATTCTTACCTGTTCCCACTGAAAACTGAAGAGTAGTGGAAATGGCTATAGGAGAAAAAAATATATGTAATAGAAACAGACAACGGGACTGAGAATCAAAAGAAAAGTCACCAGGAGCACATGGATTCCCCTCCATTGCCTTGGGATGTTCTCTTTAACCAGGCAGGGTGACTTCTGGAATAGGACACTTAACAAAGCTTCAGGAATAAGACACAGTCCAGATAGCTAAATGAAGCTTACCCATAGCCTTGACACAGCTCTTGATGTCTTCCCTCCATTTCCTGAACATATTCTGCCATCTCTGAAGCTACAGAAAAAAAGTGTATAGAACTCAAAATATTACACAATTAAACCGTAGCTAATTCTAGGTGGCAAGAAGTCAACGAAACTGTGTCTGAACAATTAGGAACTCTGGACAGAGATGCCTGAGTGTAAGCAAGGTAAAAGGGAATGACATGGCAATACAAATGCAAAGCAACAGAACAATAAAGTTAAAAAAAGGAAAAAAAGCTTAGAAAAGTCAAATAATTCGATCTAGAGAAAAAGCAAAAGAACAGAAAATTTCCCGTGAGCTACATTCTATGGCTCAATTTGCATTATTGAATGACTCAAGAAAAATTGAATTCATGTCACAAGAACTCAAAGAAAAAAAAAAAACAAATTATCTGAAAGGAAAAGGGAGATTGTAGACTAAAGGCAAAAAAAAAAAAAAAAAAAAAAAAAAGGAAAGCCAAAACAATGTGATCACATAACTAATTTGAAATAATTAGTAACAACAGGGGGTGGAAAAGATATGGCTAAAAATTGAAATATTGCCAGAGGGAAAGTGCTGAAGATATCGCAGTTAATGCTGATGAAAAAAACCAGAGATTAAATTAATCACAGAGAAACTGAGATATAAAGAGGGCAGATGGTATAATTAGATCCCTGAAAGAGAAAACCTAAGTACTTCAACAAAGAAATTACTCAAAGGTATCAAACTGGAAAGTTTTCTTAATATAAAGAACTGACTCTGAAGTTTGAAAGAGCATGTTAAGTTGTAAGAAAACTACACAGTATGTTCAATGCTAAGATGTGCATTGATCAAGTCATTGGACTTCAAGGATTAAAATAATATCCTTAAGGCATATAAGCAAAATTTACAGCACTTATCACCTATGAGGTAGATTGCTGGCATTATACAATCTCATTACACAAAACAATGTCTATAAAATTGAGCATAAAATCAAGTGGGACAAGAATTATCTGCAACCATAATGTAACTCAAATGTAAACAGCACCAGCAGACATTCACAAATACGAACAAACTTTGGTAATATAACACTAAAGAGTTCTTTTTTAAAAAGTTGTTACCATATAATAACAATATAACACAGATGAGCTCTTTTTAAAAATGTTGTTACCATACAATAACTTAACAGTACATTTTAAAATAATTTAAAGAGTGTAATTGGATTGTTTGTAATTCAAAGGATAAATGCTTGAGGGGATGGATACCCCATTCTCCATGATGTGCTTATTTCACATTGCATGCCTGTATCAAAATATCTCATGTACTCCATAAATATATACACCTATATTATTTACATAATCATTAATTATGTACTCACAAAAATAAAAAACAACCTGGGTAAACTAACTTATTTTTAACTTGAATCTATACTCCCCCCAAAAAATAAAAGACATTACAATAAAATTCAAGCATTTAAAAGAAAATAAAGTTACTCAGAAATGGAAACACTTGGTGAGAACAGTGACGGCATTTAAATATGCAAGAAATACATGGTACACATTATAAATATAGAACAAAGTATACATGTGTCAGAGGTCCCCCAAACCACCCTCAATCTGCATCACTCTCTAGAAGGACTCATAGGACCCAGAAATGAGAATGTTTATGAGTATGGTTTATTACAGCAAAAGTTACAGAGTAAAATCAGCAATGGAAAAAGGCGCATGGGGGCAAAGTCTGGAGGAAACCAGGCACAGGTTTCCAAGAGTCCTCTCCCAGTTAAATCACAAAGGATGTTCCTAATTTCTCCAGCAGTGATGTGTGGCAACACACATGAAGTGTTGTCAACCAGGGAAGCAACCCTGGAGTCCAGGGTTTTTACCGGAGGTCAGTCACATAGGCATACGATGCTTACATGACTGACTTAGTTACCGAGGCTCCAGACCCCAGAGGGAAAGCAAGTGTTCATCATAAATTATATTCTTAGCATGAACTATCTAGACCAACTGGTACAGTCTGACTCAAGGCCCTAGGCTTGCAAAAACACTCTTACCACTCAGAAATTCCATGAGCTCAATACACAGGAGCTGGTGAAGGGCCAGTCGTGCAAATAGGCCTTTCTTGGGAGTGCACAGTTTGAACAACTCAGATCTTTTGAGTTAACCCTTTCTTACACAATATGTGATAAAAATAGCAAAAAATCATAGATGAAGGAGAAAATGTCAAAGAATAATGTTCTCATTTTTCATAGGAATAAGGCAGTTTTACTGGGTAAATTTGCAGGAGGGAGTTCAAATAATAACACCAGACTGGGCATGGTGGCTCAAACCCGTAATCACAACACTTTGGGAGGCCGAGGCGGGTAGATCACCCGAGAGGTCAGGAGTTTGAGACCAGCCTGACCAACATGGGAAACCCCGTCTCTACTAAAAATACAAAAATTAGCCGGGTGTGGTGGCATGTGCCTGTAGTTCCAGCTACTCAGGAGGCTGAGGCTCAAGAATTGCTTGAACCTGGGAGACGAAGGTTGCAGTGAGCCAAGATTGCGCCACTGTACTCCCACCTGGGTGACAGAGCGACAGAGCAAGACTCTGTTTCAAAAAACAAAAAACAGAAACAAATAATAACACCAGTTGTCTTATGTGTTTAATAATATCTTTTGTAAATTTTAGTGAGTTATCTTGGAAGGTAGTACCTCATAAAAAGTAGTTGAAATTCGGAGTTTTTTCTTTTGCTAACTTTGTGTAATATTAAAGTTTAGTTTAATTAAAGTAGTACATATAGATTTTCCTCTAAAGAGTTTGTCTATTCTATTTGTGTGTGTGTGTGTGTGTGTGTGTGTGTATATAATATATATATGCTTAGAAAAGTACCTAGAAATATGCCTCTCTACTGTTAATGATGGCATGATTTGAAAAGCTTAATTTTTTTCTTTATGTATGTCTACATCTCTTATATTTTAAAATGATGAACATGTACTATTTAACAAAATTAAATCTCTGGCTAGATGCAGTGGCTCACATCTGTAATCCCAGCACTTTGGGAGGCCAAGGCAGGAGAATCACTTGAGTCCAGGTGTTAGAGACCAGCCTTGGCAACATGGCAAAACCCTGTCTTTACAAAAACAAACAAACAAACAAACAAACAAAAAAAAAAGTAGCCAGGTGTGGTGGTGCTCCTGTAGTCCTAGCTACTTGGGAGGCTGAGGTGAGAGAATTATTTGAGCCCAGGAATTCAAGGTTAAGTGAGCTATGATTGTGCCACTGCACTCCAGCCTGTGTAACAGAGCAAGACTCTGTCTCAAAAAAAGAAAAAAGTTCTTAATTTGATATTTGATTTTTCTTTGAAAAGGGAGGAGGATAATGAAAGACCGAGGAAATCATAACTCTCTGAGACAAGTTTAACACAGACTGGGAAGGGTGGCTTTTATTTTTAAGGGAATTTAAGCATCGTACAGATAAAAGAAACATACATAAAAAAGTAAATACTATGATTTTCTTTCTCCCTGGATTGCTCCTTTAACACAATAATTTTACAGAAACCTTTTTCCATTGTAAGTATTATTATATTGCTCAATTTTCCAGTGCCAATCCCTTCCTTTATTTGGAGGAGCCTCTGAATGCCAGTGGGGAGATAGTTTTCCTCTTACTGGTCAGAGGATGGAAATTTAGAGAGAAGTCATTGATTATTGAGATTGAAAAGCAATCAGACAATAAGTAAACAATCAGACAGTAAAAGCAAAAATTGGTACTAAAATGTGTTTTAAAATGACACAATGATTAAATAAAATTAATTATATCCTCTAGAAATAGAAATGGGCTTACTATGACAAATACAGATATATACCATTTGGGACTAAGAAAAATTTTATGAAGAAAGGTATGTGAAATATTTTTAATAGCCAAAAATAGAGGAACTCTGGAATGGGTGGGAAAGGAGTGAGCTTAGCAGACCTTCTCTGTGAAACAATCGTTTAGCTGGTGAAAATTATTAAAACATACACACACAAAAGAAGCTAAGACACACACATTTAAAAAATTGTCATAAGGACACACAGCAAATGGAAAAACATTTATTCAAGACATCTATTAAATACCAGTTAGAAAAATGAGAGGTGTGATATTTAAACTGTAACCAGCTGCCATCCGCTAGCTCACCCCTGCTCCTTGTTTTGGAAGCCAAAAGGACAAGAGCTTTCTTACCTGCCAGTTATCAGTCTAGGGCTACAGTTCAACCCCAGAAGAGGCAGGCTACTGGTGCCTCTCATTTTCCCCAGATTCATGTTGCAGAAGCGGTATTATGGGTAGGCATAGCCAAGAACATTGGGCTCACTTCTTTTATCCAGCCCCCGTTTATAGGGTATAAGCTCTATACCAATTGTGGCAGACCAATAATAATGCGTGTCCAATTGTCTCTTCCTCAGCTTGCTTATAAGGCAGAGGTTCCATGCTGGGAAGGGCAAGCTGAAAAGGCCAGAGTCCACCATCTTTCCCAAATTCCCACTTATACAATGGTAGTGTCACTCGGGTGGAAGTGGGCCGCTATTTGTGCAACCAACTGGGCTGTAATGGCACAGAAATTCTGCCCAGGGATAGATGCAGAGTGTCACAATAAGAGTTTCCACTCTGCCTGGAGTCACTGACTATCTGGAACAGAAGTTAGAGAAGTTCATGGCTAAGGGTTTTCTTAAACAATGGAGATCTTGATGGCAAGCAGCTTATAGGGAGCAGGCAGCTCTATGATACCAGCAGCAATGAGCAAACTGGTAAAGCAGCCAGAAGTCGAGTAGAGAGAATCAGGGAATGAGAAAGCCCTGAAGAGCCCTCTGGGGATCACACTTATCCCTGAGGGTATGGAAAGTTGTACATATTTGCAAGGCTACACAACTCAGAGGTAATTAGAGTAAGACACAGGGCAGATTTGAAAGCATTCTCAAGCCATACACAGATGCCTCATCCAGGAGGAAGAGTCTTATTGGTTCAGAAGGCTTAAACGTGATCTCTCAACCAACACTGGCTGAACAATAAGGTACTCTTACTCAGGTGCTATTCCTAGGAAAACAAACTTAAAAACAAAATCGTTCATTCTTGGTGGTCTGGAAGACTGTATTTATTCTGAAGGCTGAAACATCTCAAGGGTGACAGGAGGATAATTTCTAAGCTAACAGTCCTTTGCTGAACATGAGGCAAGATCATAAACTTCCTCAAAGCAGTCTCCAAGTCACACATATACAACAGACAAAGGGCAAAAATCTAACTGACCAAGGGGGCTTAAGTACAGTATTTGATCAATAAGTTACTTATATTGATACACTCACAGGAAGGCAAGCCAAAAGATAAAAACAGGGGAACCTTTCTGAGGGGGGAGACGAGAGCCGTCTGCCGAAAATATACAAGTCTCAGAATTATCTCTATCAAATCACTAAATAAATGAACATATGAACAAACAATTAGAAATAAACCTAGAGGAACAGGGTTAGTGTCCAGACTTGTTACAATGTATTATCTAAAGTCCAGCTTTCAATAAAAAATTAGGAGAATGCAAATAAACAGGAAATGTGACCCATACACAGAAATAAATGCAGGCAATAGAAACTGCCTTTGAGTGGGCTCATATGTTGGACTTAATAGACAAAGAATACAAGTAACTATTATAAATATGTTCAAATAACTAAAGGAAATTATGCTTAAAAATTAAAGGAGAATGAGAACAATGATTCATCAAGTAGATAATAAAATAATGAAATTTTAATACATATTGTATATGTCTATTCATCTATCTTCCAATAGAAATTTTAGAGTTGAAAAGTCCAAAAACCTAAATGAAAAATTCACTAGACGAGCTCAATGGTAGATTAGAGTTGGCAGAAGATAAAATAATTGTATTAGTCTGTTCTCATACTACCGATAAAGGCATACCCGAGACTGGGTGATTGGTATGAAAAAAGAGGTTTAATGGACTCACAATTCCATGTGACTGGGATGCCTCACAATCATATTGGAAGGTAAAAGGCACCTCTTACATGGTGGCAGACAAGAGAGAAAATGAGAGCCAGGCAAAAGGGGTTTCCTCCTATAAAACCATCAGATTTTGTGAGACTTATTCACTATGATGAGTAGAGTATGGGGGAAACTGCCCCCAGGATTCAATTATCTCCCACCAGGTCCCTCCCACAGATGCGGGAATTATGAGAGCTACAACTCAAGATGAGATTTGGGTAGAAACACAGCTAACCCATATCATTCCATCCCTGACCCCTCCCAAATCTTATGTCCTCACATTTCAAAACCAGTCATGCTTTCCCAACAGTCCCCCAAAGTCTTAACTCATTTCAGCATTAACTCAAAAGTCCACAGTCCAAAGTCTCATCTGAGACAAGGCAAGTCTCTTCTGCCTATGAGCCTGTAAAATCAAAAGCAAGTTAGTTACTTCCTAAATATATTCAGGGTACAGGCATTGCATAAATATAGCCATTCCAAAGGGGAGAAATTGGCCAAAACAAAGGGGCTACAGGCTCCATTCAAGTCCCAAATCCAGTAAGTCGGTCATTAAACCTTAAAGTTCCAAAATGATCTCCTTTGACTCCATATCTCACATCTGGGTAATGCTGATGCAAGAGGTGGGTTCCCATGGCTTTGGGCAGCTCCACCCCTGTGGGTTTGCAGAGTACAATTCCTCTCCTGGCAGCTTTCATGGGCTGGTTTTGAGTTTGTATGGCTTTTCTAGGTGCACAGTGCAAGCTGTCAGTGGATTTACCATTCTGGGGTCTGGAGGACAGTGGCCTTCTTCTCACGGCTCCACTAGGCAGTGCCCCAGTGGGGACTCTGTGTGGGGGCTCACACCCCACATTTCCCTTCGGCACTGCCCTAGCAGAGGCTCTCCATGAGGGCTCTGCCCCTGGAGCCCATCTCTGCCTAGACATCCAGGCATTTCCATACATCCTCTGAAATCTAGGTGGAGGCTCCCAAACCTCAGTTCTTGACTTCCGTGTACCCACATGCTCAATATCACATGGAAGCTGCCAAGGCTTGGGGCTTGAACCATCTGAAGCCACGGCCTGAGCTCTACCTTGGCCCCTTTTAGCCATAGCGTGAGTGGTTGGGACACAGGGCACCAAGTCCCTAGGCTGCACACAGCGAGGGGTTTGGGGGTGTGGCTCAGCCACAAACAAAACCATTGTTTCCTCCTAGCTTCTGGGGCACCTGCAGTTGGAGAGGCTGCCATAAAGGTCTCTGACATACCCTGGAAATATTTGCCTCATTGTCTTGGCGATTAACATTTGGCCCCTTATTACTTATGTAAATTTATGCAGCTGGCTTGAATTTCTCCTCAGAAAGTGGGTTTTTCTTTTCTATCACATTGTCAGGCTGCAACTTTTTTGGACCTTTGTGTTCTATTTTCCTTTTAAAACTGAATGCTTTTAATGACACCGAAGTTACCTCTTGAATCCTTTGCTGCTTAGAAATTTCTTCCACCAGTTACCCTAAATCATCTCCCTCAAGTTCAAAGTTCAACAAATCTCTAGGGCATGGAACAAAATGCTGCCAGTCTATTTGCTAAAACATAGCTAGAGTCATCTTTACTCCAGTTCCCAAAAAGTTCTTCATTCCATCTGAGACCATCTCAGCCTGAATTTCATTGTCAGCATTTTGGTGAAAGCCATTCAACAGGTCTCTAGGAAGTTCCAAACTTTCCCATGTTTTTCTGTCTTTTCCTGAGCCCTCCAAACTGTTCCAACTTCTGCCTGTTACCCAGTTCCAAAGTTGCTTCCACATTTTCAGGTATCTTTACAGCAGTGCCTCACTCCCAGTACTAATTTACTGTATTAGTCCATTTTCATGCTGCTGATAAAGATGTACCAGAGACTGGATAATTTATAAAGAAAAATATGTTTCATGGATTCACAGTTCCATGTGGCTGGGGACACCTCACAATCACAATCATGGCGGAAGTCAAAAGGCCTGTCTTATATCATGGTAGACAAGAGAGAAAATGAGAGCTAAGCGAAAGGGGTTTTTCGTTATAAAACCATCAGATCTTATGAGACTTATTCACTACCATGAGAGCAGTATGGGGGAAACTGCCCCCATGATTCAATTATTTCCCACAGGGTCCCTCCCCCAATATGTGGGAATTATTGGAACTACAATTCAAGATGAGGTTGGGGCGGGGACACAGCCAAATCATATCAATAATCAAACTTGAAAATAGAACAATAGAGATTATGCAATCTGAATAGAAGAAATAAAAATTTTGTATATTTATAATATATAACTTTAATGAATGGCGTGTTTGTATATGCGTGCACATACAAACACAAGAACTTCCATCATGAAGCATTATGGATGTGCTTTGGTGCTTGGAAGCATGGGTGTGCTCCAGGCATAGCTCTATGACAATTTGGCAGGACTGTTAAGTATACAGCTGGGAGAATCAGACCGCCTGCATGCAACTCCCAGTTCTGCCATTTATTAGCCATGTTACTTGATATCTAGAAAATGAGATAATAAAGTCTTCATGGTGTTCTTGAAGATTAAATGACTTCTTAATGCATATAAAGTCCTAGAAAGCACCAGGCGAATAGTAAATGCTCAATTTTAGGTATCATTATTGATCTTCTTTAGATTCTGCCCTTCCAGGAGATAAAAGATTTGTTTTGTTTTGCTTCACATCTGGATCATGTGTTAAATTTAGATTGTTTCCAATCTAAGAAGAGATCTTCATAATATGTCTTATTGTAACGGTGTTTGCAACTGTCACACTTTTATCTGTAATCGCTTTATAGTTTGCAAATTGTAATGTGCAGCTGTTAGCATGTCATGAGTTTTACCTGGGAGATGGCTGATTTTCAGGACTATCATAAGTGCATTTATATTACTTTTCATCTTTTGTGTGGTATCTGAACAGAGTAGGGATATGATAACAACACAGACTATTTTGGGACCCTTCAATGTGGTCTGCCTGACTCTTGTTTCTCCCTGTTTCACTTCTTTCTAGATATGAGGGTACGGGTGTTTTTCTCTTTTGTTCACTGTTACGTCTATCACCTAGAATAGTGCCTGGCAATCAGTAAGCACAGAAGAATATATCATGGTATCTCATAATCTAAAACCATTTACTTTCCAGTAGATGCCCAAGTCCTTTGATTTTATTCCGGTCTCAAACTACCTTACATGATAACCATTTTAAAAATTATATGTCTGATGCTGTATTAGCCTGTTTTCACACCGCTCTAAAGAAATACATGAGGCCGGGCGCAGTGGCTCACGCCTGTAATCCCAGCACTTTGGGAGGCCAAGGAGGGCGGATCAAGAGGTCATGAGATTGAGGCCATCCTGGCTAACACGATGAAACCCTATCTCTACTAAAAATACAAAAAATTAGCCGCACATGGTGGCAGGTGCCTGTAGTCCCAGCTACTTGCAAGGCTGAAGCAAGAGAATGGCATGAACCTGGGAGGCGGAGCTTGCAGTGAGCCGAGATCGCGCTACAGCACTCCAGCCTGGATGACAGAGTGAGACTCCGTCTCAAAAAAAAGAAAAGAAATACATGAGACTGGTAATTTATAAAGGAAAGAAGTTTAATTGACTCACAGTTCTGCATGGCTTGGGAGGCCTCAGGAAACTTACAATCTGATGGAAAGGGAAGCTGGCATCTTTTTCACAAGGCGGCAGGAGAGAAAAGAGCATGTGAAGGGAGGAACTGTCAAACACTTACAAAACCATCAGATAGTGTGAGAACTCATGAGAACAGCATGGGGGAAACCACCCCCATGATCCAATTATCTCCCACTAGGCCCCTCCTTCGACACATAGGGATTATGAAAATTACAATTTGAGATGAGATTTGGGTGGGGACACAGAGCCAAACCACATCAGATGTTTCTGTTAAATTGAATAGTTTGTTATAATCTGAGCATCCTCCTTCTTTCTTTCCTTTATGTCTATAGAGATACTACCTGATCTACCTGTTCAATATGATGCCATTGCTTCTTTCATTACAAACCCTACCCATCTACCAAGACCAACACAGACTCTATCCCATCTGCCTTAATTGCCTTCATCCTTCAGCTTCCCTCCTCTGAATGTTACTTGCTTTGTATTTATTTCCTGTGTCATTTAACCACTTGTATGTTCCAGTACAGTTACTTGTGCATTCTGTGTCTCCCTTTAGAACAGGGACCTTGTCTGTTTCACCTTTGTATTCTCCATAGTGCATGTAGGTAGCAAATATTTGACAACAGCCAATATTTAATAAAGACCTACTCAGTGACAGATACTGAACCCAATGACTGGTTTGATTCCTAGGAATGTGAGTGATATTCTCTTCCTGTGTTTTCTAAAATTATTTGCCTAGTGAATATTTAAACAAATTCACATGTTGAACATCATAGTGTTTCAAAACAGCCCCTGGACTTGGTATCAGATATATTGAGTCAAATCCAGAGATGCTGTGTGACTTTGGGATGATAACATACCCCTTTAAGAGTCTTGGTTTTCCCAAACACCACATGTTCTCACTCATAGGTGGGAACTGAACAATGAGAACACATGGACACAGGAAGGGGAACATCACACACTGGGGCCTGTTGTGGGGTGGCGGGAGGTGGGAGGGATAGCATTAGGAGATATACCTAATGTTAAATGACGAGTCAATGGGTGCAGCACACCAACATGGCACATGTATACATATGTAACTAACCTGCACGTTGTGCACATGTACCCTAAAACTTAAAGTATAATAATAATAAAAAAAGTCTTGGTTTTCTTGTCTGCAAGTAGGAATAATAGAATCACACTATAGTGTTAATCGAGGTAACAAATTGTCGGTAACCTCAGACTGAGGAAGGTATCAAATAAAAGTGAGTTTTCAGCCAGGCGCAGTGGGCTCACGTTTGTAATCCCAGCACTTTGGGAGGCCAAGGTGGGTGGATTGTTTGAGGTCAGGAGTTCAAGACCAGCCTGGGCAACATGGCAAAAACCCATCTCTACAAAATATCTAAAAATCAGCTGGGCATGGTGGCATGCGCCTGTAATCCCAGCTGCTCGGTAGGCTGAGGCAGGAGAATTGCTTGAACCAGGGAGGCAGAGGCTGCAGTGAGCGAAGATCACACTGCTGCACTCCAGCCTAGGCAACAGAGTGAGACTGTCTCAAAAAAATAAAAAATAAAAATAAGTCAGTTTTCCTCTTTCCCTATTTGAATAAAAGTAAAATGAGTTTTTCAAGGGTGTCATTAGCTTTATGTTATTGTTCTAACTCTGCCTCTATCAGATATTCTTTGAATGGGCCAAACTCTCACAATGGCTGGACACTGGGGATGTTATGATGCCAGACCATGCTGCTACTTTTTCCTTCCTTTAAAAGCTCTCTGGTAAATATCGATTTGTCTGCTCTGGTGGTTATAAACTGCTGCTCTCCTCCTATTCTTCATGAAATACAGGGATTCTAAGTTTTGTTTTATGTACTTGTGTTTTATCTATCGCATACAGAATTGCAAACAATACTATTTGTGAGGGGCGTTTTGACTTTTTCAAAATATCTTCATATCCATTATTTAATTTGGTACCCTTCACAAGTCTATGAGCCTGGTAGGGCAGGTACCTGTGTCATCATAATCCCCTTACAAATGAGGAAATAGAGCCTCAGAGGTTAAGTGGTCTGCCCAGCGTCACACAGATTAAAAGGTGGTAACAACAAGGGTTCATCAAACACAAGTCACTAGGCTACAAATCTGGCACCCTCTCTACTCGCTTAGCCTGAAAGCAAAGGGGTATTTGGCAACTGTGACATCCGTCATCCTAACGATCTTCTCCATTCTTCTTTGGCAGAGGCATCCATCCTGAGCTATGATGGTAGCATGTACATGAAGATCATCATGCCCATGGTCATGCATACTGAGGCAGAGGATGTGTCCTTCCGCTTCATGTCCCAGCGAGCTTATGGGCTGCTGGTGGCTACGACCTCCAGGGACTCTGCCGACACCCTGCGTCTGGAGCTGGATGGGGGGCGTGTCAAGCTCATGGTTAACTTAGGTATCGTATGAAGTACCCTCTGCCACTTCGTTTGGGCTTGTCTTCCCTTTCTTTTCTGATTTTCATTGGTTTGATTGAATTCTTTGTTTGTTTCTTGAAAGTTAGCTGCTCACCTCTTGTTTAACAGACCCAGGATAAAACCCAACAGCAGCGATCACCTTCTCCTTGTTTCTGCATGAGGTTTTGATGTCAATTTCTGGTTTCTGACAGTGGTGATTTCTTTACTAGATTATTTGTTTTCTAAGTTTCCTTTCTTGGTTTTTTGGAATCGTTTAGCTTTGTGTAAAACACGCTACTTTGGTCCATCTTTTGATCAATCATATTCCCATAAGTCCAACTCCTCAGTCACCACTCAAAACAGTCACAGCTGAGGTCAGGGACAGGGCAGGAAGTGGAGGCAAAATGTTGATGGTGGGGTTGTAGGAAATTAAACTTTGTGGGTAGGGTGAGAAGTACATTGTTTCTAGCTCCACAGCTACTATTCAAATGGAGAATTCTGGTGGCCTTGATGACACTGATATCTCCTTTGACTTTCTCCTAGAGGGAGGACAAGTAGATTGTTGTTCCCTTGGAAAATAATTCCCTAAGTTGAGTCTGTGACACGTGGAAGGAAAATGTGTCTCCTGATACGTATACCCATTTTTCTTCTTGACATTCTTAACCATCACTCAGCATCCCCTTGTGCAAAGATTGTTACCTTGTACTATCACTCACTAATAACTCTCTTCTTCTTATATAATACATATCTATTTTACCTCAGAGTTGAAAAATTATGACTTCAAATTTGTGGCTTTATTGGAATAGGATTTTCTCTTTCATTGTAATTACCTATAACAGAATCTTTAGAAATTTTCCTTTATATGGCCTCATATTCTCTTCTGCTATTGACCTTTACTGAATTCTAATTGATATTCTATAGAGATTGGGATCCTCTTGGTTTTTGGCAAGGAAAAAACAAACAAACACTCCATTTCTGCTGTTTCTAATCAGCAGAAAGTCAATACCCAGCATTGATAAGATTAGTGAGACAGCTGGGTCCAAACTTTCTAAGCTAGTGAATGTATTTGGGTACGTAGAATATGTTTGGATACAGTGATACCTTATAAAGATTTCAGTGAAATGGTTTGTCAGAGCCATGGAGAAAAAATGATGAACAAATGTACCAGATGCAAGATCATATGTAGGCCCACATGTCCTGGTGGGAAGGTGGGGTTTTTGAATCCATACCAATCTTATCTGCTGTCAGGTCAACTGGACACACTTGGAAAATGCCTACATCATAAACCTAAAATCTCTGGGACACAAAGGACTGTTTTGAGCAGTGACTTCTTTAGTTATGTCTTTTTTTTTTCTTCTAGTTTTCAGTGTTTACAGTACCGTGCTCTTTTTCTTGTCCAACTTCATTTGATTTCTGTTGTCAGTGTGTCTCTTGGTTTTTCTTTTGTTTGTGTATTGTGTGTTTGGTCATTTTAGGTTATATTTTTTTCTTTTGCTGGATCTTTTTGTGTGCGTGTGTTCCTGAGTTTCCAATCCTCCCCGCCATCAACCATGGTAAATCAAAAGATGGTATTCAACCCTTCAAAGGCCCAAAGCCTGCGGCCCGCATAGCAAACAGCCTTGAGAACACAGCGTATTGAGCAGCCTACAGAGACTGGCATACCCCTGACCCTACTACCTTCCATCCCTGCACCATCCTACCCACCTTAAATCAATATAAGAGTGTGTTACCTAAAACCAACAGCCAGCAGCTGATTATCTCCTCAGAAAAAAACAACAGAAAAAAAAAAAAAACAGAACCAAATACAACCCCATAACTAGCTCACTGAAAAAGATGATGAAGACAATTTTTATCTCTGGATCTATTTCAAAGTCAGAGAGAGACAAACATATGAGAATGATTCAGCCCCACGCGATCCTGAGGGAGTGTACACAGTGTCATTAAACAGACATTTTTTTCCCCATTAGGTGTTGTTTAGTAAAGATTAGAGTGTCAACTTTGACAGGTCTCACATCTTAGAAGGAAAAACTGGGGTCAGTGGGGGTACAAATAAAAGCGTATAAGAAATAAGGAAATAAGTGTACAGATTCTCATTCTCTCTCTCACACACACACACATACACCTTGAGTTGGTCATACATCCCACATGCATTTCTAGAAGCATTATTTTTGTATTTTAAACTCTAGTCAAAGTCTGAGAGATGTGCTTTTCCAATAGACTTTGCTTTTTTTTTTTTTTTTTCCCCTTTGGCTTCTTTTGTTGCAATTTCAATCTAGCTCCTGCTGCGTTGAACCATCTCAGGCAAAGGAGAGGTAGCCTCTCTGTAGAGAGCACTGTGCTTGTCCAGAAGCCATAGTTAATTTTTTTTACACCAAAGGATAGGTTCATCATAATTACTGGTTTGAATTTATTTAACTTTCTTTCCAACCTGACATGGAAAACTGAACTTAAACTCTCATGCTTGTGTAAATGCAGCTCTTCATATCCACGCCTTGTTTAAAGGTTTTCCTTCCGTTCCCTCCCCAAAATATACCCCTTTGCAAATATTTTCTTTCTCTTTGCCGTGAATTTGTGTTTCATTTTTCTCAATTACAGAAGAAAATGTATCCAAGTAGAATTTGTCTTCACATGCATTCCACCAAAATTAATTTCAAATGATCACTTTGCTCCCTCACTCTATTCAAGTTGTGTCTTTTTTCTAGCCCATGCACTAACAATATTTTAGTTTATTTCAAATTGATCACACATATGCATTCATGATATAAAAGCCTAGTATATATTTCTCTGATGTAACATATCTTCCAAATGTCAAGGAGACTAGGGTTTTCCAATGGCTTTATCTTCTGCAGGCAGCCATATGTGGTGCTAACAGGTATGAGAAATATCCTATAACTCAGCACAACTTTTAAAAAGTTGAGAGGTTGACTATTGATCAACCATATTTTGATTCTTTAGAATTATAAGCTATAACATTTTATTATTACAGCATATTTAAAGATTTAAAAGACCTTATCTTATTTTAATCTCATGATCTCATGGATCTCATGCGATTAATGATAATCTCATGATAATTTTGTGAGATAAATCAAGCAAGTGTTTTTATGCTTACTTTTACAGATGTGTAGCACAGAGAGAAATATATTACTTTTCAAAGCTTACATAAAAAGTTGGAGACAGAGCTGGAACTAGAACCCATGTCTCTAAACTGCTAGATCAGCCTGCGTTATTTGTTTCCTTCACAGATCAGCACTATGGGTCAATGATGTGTTAGTCTTAATGGCTTCCAATTGTTTTTATGATGGTCACCTTTGAAACACACACAGAGAGAATCTCCATTTTCCTCAGTGCCCAGTTTGAATTGAGCTGCACTAGGGAAAAGACAGTTGATATGGACAAAACCTTTAAAAGATCCTTAGCAGAGTGCCAGGAGCCCTTCTTCAATGGCAGACTCTGAGGGAGTGGCATGTAGTTTGGTAAATTGCATTTGAATTCTCCAGATGTTCTCTCTCTGGAAATGTGGACTTGCTATTACTGTTTACCAAACACATTATTGAAGACACACAGCTCTTAGAAACATTTACCTCTTCCATGCTCGACCCAAAGCTCAACAACGAGAAAAACTTTCTTGGCCAGGCACCTTAATCTAATTACAGACACTTAGGCCTGTAATCCCAGCTCTTTGGGAGGCCGAGGCAGCCCATCACGAGGTCAGGAGACCAGCCTGGCCAACATGGTGAAACCTCATCTCTACTAAAATACAAAAATTACCTGGGCTTGGTGGTGCGTGCCTGTGATCCCAGCTACTCGAGAGGCTGAGGCAGGAGAATCGCTTGAACACAGGAGGTGGAGGTTGCAGTGAGCCGAGATCTCACCATTGCACTCAAACCTGGGCAATAAAGTGAGATTCTGTCTCAAAAAAAAAAAAAAAAAAAAAGAAAGAAAAGAAAAAGAAAGAGAAAGAAAGAAAAAAACTTTCTATCATTTACCATAATTTAAAACAAAACAAAATTAAAACAGGCAACACACAGATATGAACACATACACATCAAAAGATATGCCAAGACTTAGGCAGACTTTTTTCAAGCAAAAAGTCTGGCTGCTACCAAACGTAGATTTAAAGGAAATTGCCTTCCCAACTCAGTTCTTTGACTCATATTTTTTATTTAAAAAACCACATATATAAATGTGTATGTGTGCGTGTGTCTATATACACACGCACACACACACATATTTATACATATATACATACACATTCAGTAACAAGAACACCCCCTCAGAGCCTATCAAGAAGGCTCTGGGATAGATTTTCCTTCTCAAACCACTTGTTCTTCAGGTAAAATAACAAAGTAATTCTTCACATATTGAGGTAAAGTAAACAAACTGTCTGCCATCTTGAAAGCGCCAAGCTCTTACATTGGTTTAAAGACCGCATCCACTTTACATGAAATCATTTGAGTGATCCAGAAAGATGAGCCCAAGCCACCACCTCTCACTAGGCCAGCTTCTTGTCTAATAATAAAATCCTCAGCTATGCAGAAGCCGAAGACAAAACCCACTTGTTGTTTGCAGTCCTTGGGTTTGTTGCTTTAGGCTCACTCTTCCTCTCATAAGCGTGCCCATACACCAGTTTCCTCTCTCTCTTTAATATGTCAGGAAGGGACATTTCTCCAGCTTTGGGTGATGGTAGGTGCAGTCAGTAGCTGAAGCCATCACCTCTTCCTCCCTCCCTGCCCTCCCTCCTTCCAGTCCTCACCAGGGGCATGGCCTCCTCTGTCTGGTAATCATACCGGTTGCTCCAGGGCTGTTTGCTCCCACTTTTCTGTTGCGGTTGACGACACATGACAAACCTAACCGCACGAAACCAAACCCAGATTTTTCTCAAGAGATGTTCTTCTCGGGAACAAATAAGCATTCTGCCTCCTTACTCAGAATAACTGGGTGCTATAAATCGCTCCTCTCCAGATTTCACGTAGCTTCATTCTCCCCTTTATTCTTGCTCCTTTAAAATGATTCACTTTGGGGAATTCAAATGGTGGCATCATCCTTGACAAGTCCTCTAAAAACTACTGGGTCAACCTTAAGCAGAAGAAGAGTACTTTGTGACTATATTTTCCCCTCTATCTTTCTTCCTTTAAAAAAAAAATCATTTCGCTTCTACCTTTTAGTATCTAACGGTAAACAAATCCTTATTGGAATTTCCACCATGATAAACCAACCTTAGGCTGAACCGGGCAGCTTGGTAACAACTAACCTGAGACCTTTCTCTGACCTTTTCTGCCCAGTCCCCTACTATGCCCACTGATTCTACTCAAGGACTTCTATGTTGTGTGTCCATGACTCCCAAGCAGAGATTAATACAATGATAGATATGCTGATCTCTGGCACAGAATACCTTGTCTGATTACTAGCTCTGGCCAGTTGGTCACTCTTTTCTTCCCTCCCTTTCCCATTTAAAAAAGTGAAACAAAAACCAAAAAATTTTCTCTCCTCAAGATGTGGAATCACAGAGTGAAAAATACTCAAGATGTCAAAGGTGCCGAGACCTCCTCCACACGTGCCTGGCTTGCCTTCTCCCTGAATGCTGTGGGCACTTGATTCAGTCTGCGTATTCAGGCAGGAAGACAGAGATGGGCTGCGCGAGGGGGTTGATCTGGGAGCCTTTGAATCACTAGCAATCAGAGAACCCAATTCATTGTGATAACATCATACAACTCCTTTGACCCTACACCCGACCCCACCTCTCTAAAATCTGGGATGGGTGTTTGTGCGGTTAGCTGTTTGCAAGTGGCCATTTTATGACAGGAAATGACCAGGTGGTGTTAACCCTTTCCTTACCACTAAGGAAGATGGCAAGTGTGCCTATGCAAATTTCTATAGCATTTGGGGCCCAACCTAAGGAGAGGGTGGAGGGAGTTTGATTTTAGAAAAAGAGAAAGGGTTAAGTACGTCACTGAGCAACTTCATGGGCAGATTTTTTAAATGATACAATCAGTCAGACTGGTGATATGTCTTTGGAATACTAATACAAAAATTGTGTTAATGCTACTTTAAAAACGAATTTTAAGAAAATAAATTATAGAGGAAAATAGAATATAACCTGCATTTGGTGGGGGGAATTATTGCCTATTTTTCCAAGTTTGACAAAATTAATATTTCAAAGTCCAGGTTTGAAATACTTTATATAAAAGAATAGCTTTTTTTGAAAAAAAAAAAATGTTTGGTGTCTACTGTGGATATATATGTATACCAGTATATATCTCTATACATATGTGTATATATATGTGTGTGTGTGTATATATATATGTATCCAACTTTACTAAATAATATACTGTACATATACACCCACCCTTAAACTTGTACATACTTTATATATATAAAATGGCCACATTTCTTACGTGTGTCTGTCCCCGGAAGGGTGGACTGATTGTTTTTGGATGTCTGCAGCTGTTACCTTGAAGGATGCAATTTCATCTTTCATTTATTTTTCCCCATCTAGACTGTATCAGGATAAACTGTAACTCCAGTAAGTTTTCCCTCAAGTTTCATTTTGTTCTTTAAAAAAAAAAAACAAAACTGACTTTATTTTGTTTACTGTTTTATGAGCTGTTTTTTATTTGAATTATTTTTTCTTTTAACAATGGAGTGGGGGGGACCTGGGGCTAAGAAGATGGGGGGCTGGGTGAGGGTGAAGGGCTGAGTGTGGTTTTGGGTGTGGTTTCTGAAGTGAGGGCAGGTCCTCTCTTCTTTCCTTGCATTTGCTCTATATGAAGAAAAGAAGGCAAGGGCACATGAATAATGAAATAATGAAAAATCAAGTTGAAATGATGATTTATTGTTTTTGGGAGGTAACTCTGAGAGTGAACAAAAAGCTTTAGGGCAACCAGCATGCACTTCTCCACTACCAAACAGTTTAGAAAATAAAAGCACTGTTCTTGACCCACAGGTGGCTGCCAACTCTGACATTTCTTTCCCAGTATTTATCTCTGTTGGGAACTTCTAGCAGGTGGGCAGATCACTGCTATTGGTGATAAGGCAACACTTTAACCAAAGACTTGAGACACACTCTGTCTCTGCAAAAGGAAGAACTGCAGTATTATTTTCACCTTATCCCATTCAGATACCCTAGTTCTTGAAGAAGGGTCCTAACAAGGCACAGGATGAAAACTACTCATGTATTTCTTCCTCTTCCTTAGAAGTAAACATTAGCTTGAGTCAACATGTAGAAGGGGAATATGAAGATAAATAGGAAGAATAGGCACAAGAGAAAGAATAGGCCTAGATGATGAAAGGAACAAAGGAAGAAATATGCTTTGAGTACTATAGCATATTATATTAGGCTTATTAATACTAACTACTGTAACAAGCAATCCCAACATTATAATGGCTCAACAAAAGAAGGTTTTATTTCTTGTTCAGTCAAAGTCCAATGCTAATTGGTCAGTTTTCCCAGACAGCTCTCTTCAAAGAGGTAATTCAGGGATCTAGGATCCTTCCATGAGGTGGGTCCACCACCTCGGAGTTCTTTACTTCTGGCTGTATCCGTAGGGAAGAGAGAGAGAGAGAGAGCTTGGGTGGTTGTGCAGTAGGTTTTATTGCCTTGCCTGGAAGTAACAAACATCGCTTCTATCCATATTTGGTTTGCTAGACATGACTCCATCCTACATGCAAAGGAAGCTGGGAAATGTAGTCGGCTAGTGCACCCAGGAGAAGAAAAACTGGATTAGTTGATATCTAGCACATGTAATTCTCCATAGTATCTCATCATCTTTAAAATTCTTTCCTCACTAGGAAAAATCCAACTTTTACATTTGGTTTACTTGTTGATTCCATCCTAGTAAGTCTTTTATAGGTGCTAGTTTAAACTTCTTTCTTGGTAGAAGATATATTATAGGCATGACAAACTAATAAAGCCCAATTCTACTTTTTGGGGGGCAAATGTTCCATCTAAGTTAACACAAAAAGAAGAAATTTAAAATATCGATATAAGCAACTGCTTACTAAATAGAGTGCTTTATCCTTGTCTTGGCATCACTTACAGTTATTTTAAGCAATGGCCTATTTTCTGTGTTTAAATATTTCTAATTAGCCAGAAATTTGTCATGATATTTAGATCATTAAAAGCCTAATTGAAACATCCTTTCTCTCCAAAGCCTGGAGTTTTCTGTTCCTGTTTTTTTGGTTTGTTTGTTTTTTTAAGCAGCTTTATTGAGATACAATTTTCATACCACTACATTTACCCATCATAAACCTACAGTTTAAGGATGATAATTAAACTTATAAAGTTGTCCAAATATCACCACAATCACATTTTAGAACATTTCCATCATCCCCAAGATTTCTTTTCTGGTCATTTGTAGCTAATCCCTGCTCCTACCCATCGTCCTAGGTAACTATTGGTGTGCTTTGTTCCAATAAATATGCCTTTTTTGGACATTTTATGTACATGGAATTAGACAAATTGTTATATAGTCATTGTATCTTGCTTCTTCAAAAAATTTTAATGGCATTTCTATGGAAATATTTTCTCTTTCCTTTTGCATTGGTTTTCAGAAGGAAATAAGGTGGAAACCCAGCATGAAGGTGGAAAGCCTCGTATCCGAAGCTACATCTAGCATCTTCTAGCTTCAGAGACTTATTTGGAGAACAGGGAACTGAGGCAGTTATTTAATCAGGATATCAGAATTTGCTTTTGCTGTTCTATCCACACTTTCTCATGAAGTCAATCCCATATATTCCACATGATCAGCCACGGAAAGTCATCATAAGACAACTCCCAGGATTACCTCTGTTGGGAAGATGGTGACACAGATGACAGCAGGTTTTCTTAATCTGATAAAATATTTTCTATTTACACCCCACCAAAAACAGCATTGAGAGGAAAATATGTCAGCAAAGTTATATTCCCAGCTTTGATCACAAAGTATAGAAAGAATATAACTGATTTCAATTCAATACTTACATAAAGAATCAAGATTAGATTTTGGAAATTGTTTTTGAGATTTTCACAATAAACCTTTAATGTACTAAGAACATTTATTTTGTTGGAAATTTAATATCAGAGAAATAATACAGTGCTCAATGGTTGACCAGTGTTTGACTGGAAAAAACAAATATACATGGGTCTTTTAAACTAATCTAACACCTTTAGAGCTAAACAATGTAACCACGTATCTAGGGTTATGTAGAGTCACAAAGTAAATATAATACATTTTTTTTCTGAAGCTAATTTTAATTGTTAATATGGAGTAAAAGTTTAAATTGAAACCAAGTTGATATATTATGCAGAAGAATGCAAATAAGCATAAATCTTTAAGAAAAAAACATAAGAATTCAAAGACATTTCATTTTTATTGTGAATCTTCTCTATTTCATCCCTGGTATTATTGGCATTTGAGTGGAAAAGTTTGAGAAGACTATGCAATTAAATTTGGAGAGAAAAAGGGCCTACATGATCCGAACTTCTAAGCCCCTCTTCTTATTGACTCCATGTCAGATTTCATAGCTTGACCTGTTACAGGATCTCACATTGTCTCTGTAATAGGTGTGCCGGTCCTTACTCTTATCTGATTTTCAACTGTGAGAGTATTTGCACCCTGGGTTTGAGGGAGAGGAGGTTTTCCCTGAGCCTTACCTCTTGCTGCTATTTCAATAGAAGTCATAGGGTACCTTGCTTAATTTTCAAAACAGAGCTTCTTTTTTTTTTCCCCCTTGAAGGGAAATACTGAATTAAATTTGAATCAAGGTGGATTATAAGTTTGTGAACTTTTTCAGTCATTCTTTTTTAGAATGCCTGTCCTCTGAAAAGTCACTTGGGTAAAATACTGAATGACATCAGCTATTTTTTTTTCCTGTTCATCTGCTATAAAATGTTGTTTGTTCTGGGAAATGGCTATTTCCAAGGCATTCTGTGACACTCTTTAATGGAGACAAGAGCATGAAAAAGAAGGATGATCTTCCAGCATCGAGAGAAATCAATGGGCCATGAGAGAGAAGGGTGATCTTGAGGGGAAAAAAAGCAGTTTTCTTCTAGCCTTCTTCCTTTTGGCTTCACTTCCTGGCCCTTTTGTCAGAGACTATGGCCCAGTTCCATGCCAAGTATTTCCTCCCAAGAAGAAAAGCAATTTTCTAATCAGCTCTTCTTTCTGCCTTTCTTAACTTCTCTTTTTTAATACTTTGTCTTTCCTCATGGTATCTATGATATATTCATTATTATTCATTACAAATCCTACTACTCCTGCTTTCCAAATCCTCCAAGAATACCACACCATAAATTGCTCTCTAGTTACTATCAATAAACATATATTACAGAGTGTGTAAATCAAGGTCTTTGGTTGAATCAAGTTTGTTGCTGAATTTGATTCATCTGGCGGGAATGTATTTCTTAATACACTTAATACATATAGTTCTAGCTTAGAATTTATTTTTAAATTGCAAAAGAACAACAGAGTTGGCAGCCATCATGGCGAATTGAACTACAGGGTGACCTGGAACACTACTAAAGGAAAACAGAACTGGCCGGATGTGGTAGCTCACACCTGTAATGCCAGCACTTTGGGAGGCCGAGGTAGGCAGATTACGAGGTCAAGGGATCGAGACCATCCTGGCCAACATGGTGAAACCCCATTTCTACTAAAAATACAAAAATTAGCCGGGTGTGGTGGTGTGCACCTGTAGTCCCAGCTACTCGGGAGGCTGAGGCAGGAGAATCGCTTGAATCCAGGAGGCGGAGGTTGCAGTGTGCTGAGATTGTGCCACTGCACTCCAGCCTGGCGACTGAGCGAGACTCCATCTCAAAAACAAAAACAAAAACAAAAGCAAAAAGAACCAGGGCTGTTTTCTGGAGAATTTCTGGAGGAAATGTCCTGTTCCTATGGCTGTAGTTCCATAAGGCTGGCAGTAACCTAAGAGGCACGCGGTTCTGAAAACAGGTATGAACTTCTCGTTGGTGTCATGAGTGCGCAAGTGAAAGTATGGAAAATGACTTTTTGTCTTTGACCTTGTCTGATTGTGCCTTTCCCTGTGATTTCCTAGCCACTAATTTATTCTATCCCTTTCAAGCCATGTGCAGTATGAATGAATATAGAGAACTAATAATAATTAAATATATGGATAGCTTGAATGAATACAGTAAACACATATTAATGAATTTCAACTTTTTCTTTCTTTTTCTATTTCTCTTTCCTCTCAAACGCTAATTCTTCTGTGTTGTGGCCATCTTCATTATCTTTCTAAAATGGAGTGTATATGTGGCATGGAAATTGTGAGTTTGTGTATAAGCCTGATTATTTAGGTATATGTAACAGTGTCTCTCTCACTAATTACTTTGAACCTGAAGACCCACTAATTTCTCTGTGACAAGGTTTATTTTTTCTTCTTAGACACAGAGGAGAAAGGAAGTAGTGTGCTGTACAAAAATATATTGACCTTAAGACACTTAAGTGCCACAATAGAGTTATTTGTGTCAGAGAATAGCTTTGATGATCTTGTGTATTCCCTATATAAGCTGATACCTTTGATTCATCATAGAGGTGCACAGTAATCTCAGAGATGTATGAAAATAACATCACAAGGATATGATATCTGCAAATTTTATCTCCCAAGACTACTAGTGTTTGAGTCTTTCTCCTCTTGGACTTGCTTGGATAATTTGTTTCTTTCTTTTTTTTTTTTTTTTTTTTTTGCCTTTTCCCTTAGCTTCTCTGCCTTAAGTTTCTAAGCAGACTCCATTTCCAGTGCTTTGGAAAAATTAACAGCATGTGGGTGGTTATTGCTTAATTTAGGCATAGTTTAGTGAGCTGCAGTTTATTATACTGGACTTATGGTTTTCTTCTCTTTCTTTTACTCTGTCTTTCCTCTCCATGGTACAAGAATATGTTATTTCATCTTTACGAATCGTTTATCTGAGAATCTCAGAGCCAAATTGTTTAGCTCTTTCCTTTAACTCAGAAACTCTTGCCTCAGACCAATAAGGAGGGCTGACTTCTTCATCACTAAAAGTCATTCTCAAAGGAAATTGTAGAACCCTCTTTGGTATCCATTTTAAAAGTCAAGTAATCATTACTGTCAGCCATTTACCTGGTGATGCCACTTATTAGAATCTTAGCAGAGATGGAAAAGCAAGAGCCTATGTATCATAATGTATTCTCTGTCAAACTATAAGCAAGCTATAAGCATTGCACTTCAGAGTTTCTATCTTCATAACGCATATTTTTGCTTCTTTTGGTATGTTTTATATTTCTTGTAACATATAGAACACTTCAAGTGTAACAATATTTATCGTATCAATAACAGCCAGATTTTAGTATGATAGTGGGATGCTTCCTAAATATATAATATTAAACACTTCTTAATAAATATTAATTCAGATTGGTTTATTTTAAAATAGTTAATAAGATTATACATGGAACAAAAGGCAAAATAGTAAAAATTCTTCCCACTCATCGTATTCCTCAAACTCCTTTTCCCAAAGGCAACCAAATTTATTAGGGATTTTTGTATCTTCTTTCAGGGGTAGCCTATGAGTATACAACATATAATTATATCCACGTTCTTCTCCTTTTCTTCTTTCTGCTCCTCCTTCTTTTTGACACAAATACCAACAAGCTTTTCCACATCTTATTTTTCCACTAAAAATGTCTTAGAGACTATTCCATGTAAGAATATATAGGTTTATTTTATTCCGTCTAATAGCCACATAACATTTCATTTTAGGGGGGTGCTATATTTTATTAAATCAGCACCGTACATTTAAATTTTTCTCAGCTTTTTACTACTAAAAATGTAAGAAGTATATACTTTTGTTCATTAGTTAATGCATACATGTATAAGAAGATCTATTGGATAAATTCCTAAAAGTAGAACTGCTGAGTCAAAAGATAAGTGCATTATAAATATTGATATATATTACCAAATTGCACTCCAAAGAGGTTTTACAAAGTTATATTTCTACCAGCAATATATGTGTTTGCTTCTCCTCACTCTTGTAACACACATCATATTATCAAACTGTATTTTCATTCTCTTAAGATAGCTTTTCAAAATGTTGCTGTCACATATTTATTTCCCATAGATCTTTTCCTCCCATCCTTTAACATCTTCAAATATACATAGGGATCATTGTCATTCATGACTTTGGTGACAACTTATATCAGAAATCTTTTAATAGCAATCTGCTGTAGCAACATTTCATATGTTAATCTTGTTTTGATAAACAGGGATATTGTAGAAAAGTAGCAATATGTTATAGTAATTTTGTGTAATTTATCTCCTACATTATTATTGATCTGTGTTGGGATCTCAGCACAGACAGGCATTTAGTGCAATTACAAAGAGCAAGGAGGACACTGGAGCCAAATAGCCTGGGTTCAACACTTGTCTATGCCACAAATGAGCTACATGTCTTTGACAAGTTGCTTCAACTCTTAGTTTCCTCAATTGTAAGTTTCATATGAAATTTAGAAAGAATAAAGGGAATGGGATCTAGCACCAAATTAAAAAGTAAACGTGATGTGAACTTGAGGCATTAAATTACAAATAAGTGGTTTCCAAAAGAGAGTATGCTTTGTCTCATCAAAGGAAGAAGCAGAGGAAACAGCAAAAGAGGAGGAGAAAAAGAACTTGTTCAAAGCACAAGCCTTCATAAGTTATGTCTTAGTCCATTTGGTGTTGCTATGATAGAATACTTGGGGCTAGGTAATTTATAAAGATAAGAGGATTATTTGGCTCTTGATTCTGGTGGCTGAAAGTTTCAAGAGCGGGCAGTTGCATTTGGCGAGGGCTTCATGCTGCTTCCACTCATGGAGGAAGACAGAAGGGGAGGTAGTATGTGCAAAAAGATCACTTGGTGAGAGAGGAAGCAAGAGAGAGAAACCAAAGAATATAGACTCTTTTTAACAACCCACTCTAAAGGGTACTGATCTATTCCCATGTACAAAGAGAAGTCACTAACCCCTGCCTGAGGGCATTAATCTATTTATGAGGGATTCACCCCGTGACTCAAACGCCTCCCACTGAGCACTGCCACCACAAAAAAAAAGGAAGCAAATTTCAACATGAGTTTTGGGGGGAACATACCATATCCAAACCATAGCAAGATATATGGATATAAACAAAGTTAATAGAGCTGCTGAATTCTAGGAAGGATTGCTAGACAAAGGAATAAATTTTTAATATCTGAACATCTTAAAATAGGCAAATACCCAGCCAATGTAGAAATTTTATATTGTTAAATATCAGGTTAATAGAGGCAGTATATAGACTCATATAACTGTTTATCAATCACAATTTGAACTGCTGTATTATGTTAAATTAGTGTACATGGTTTAGATATATAAAGTTAGTGTACCTAGTTTGGAGGTATGTATACACACACCTGCACACACAAAGAGTGAGAGAGAGAAATATCTAATGCCAGTACAGCCTAAAATTTTTACATTGATATCTGCCACTGTATGATTTTTATGACTTGAAGCTACCTTGGATATAGTATATGCTTGGTAAATAATTGCTAAGTAAGTGAATGGGGTAATGAATTGTATCCATTGCGCTACCTTAATTTATTATTTATACAAAATTGTTAAGAATCAACATGCAAGGTACAAGCCTAAAAATTGTAAAGTACAGTGTTTTGTCTTGTTGTCACTCAGAAAGGAAGAAAATTAACCAAGGAGTGAATTTGTCGTCTTAACCTAATAATCTAAAGGAATATATATTACTTTCTCTGTAAAATAAGAGATTTCTGACAAATAAATATTTTCATGAAGTCTGATTGGGCCATATTTTGGTTGAAAGTAAGGAAAATTTCATGAAGGAAGATGAACGTGTATCTGTAAATATTGCATGTTGTCATTCTTCCTTGTTCTTCCTCATTCACTTATTCCATGGACATTTACTGAGAGTAAGCAGAGTTCCAAGAGCTGAGTGTCATTTTAGGAATTTATACTGCAAATTTCCAAGGAAAATGTAGGAGGAATTCTCATAGACTGAGTAATTTCTTTATCCCACCCTACTCTTCCCTTTCACATTGCCCACCTCCATTTCTTGTTTTTCTTGAAGAAATTGGACCTCAGATGTATGTATCTCTAAAATCCAGATGAGTCTCTTATGGATTTTGTTCAGGGCTAATTCAACATTCAATTCAACATAATGATGTCTTTTTTCACAATGTGTGTGCATTTCTCATGATGGGGCCCTAAATGCTGGTTTACTTAGGGATTTTCCTGATTTCCTTTTTTGTTTTGATTTGCCCTCCTTCATCTGACCACTTGCTTGGAGCCTCGCAAGCTGTGTTTCTGCTCCCCTTTAAAAGGCTGATGTTTCAGGGACTGTAATTTTAGTAAAAATACTATTTCTGTTTTCCTTCTACCTTTCCAAGATTTCTTTATGTACTCCAATCCATTTTATGTGTCTAATTGCTATAGTCAGATATACAAGGTGACAAATTCTGTAAGTACAGTTGGTCCTCCATAACTGCTGGTTCTGCATCTGCAGATTCAACTAACAAAAAAATTGAAAATAATTTTAAAAAACAATAAAAAACCAATATAACAATAGAAAATAATACAAATAAAAATACATATAACAGCTATTTGCATAGCATGTACATTGTGTTAAATATTATAAGTAATTTAGAGATTAGAGTATAGGAGGATGTACATAGTTTATATGCACATAATATAAGACACCATTTTATATAAGGAACTTAAGCATCTACAAATTTTGGTATTCACAAGGGTCCTGGAACTAATTTCTCATGGACACCAAATTAGGACCGTATTAGTTTCAGGCACAGTTTATATTTTGAAAATTAGGAGGTATTATGGTAAATTTAAATGGAAACTGGGCCTGAGAAATCCCTGAGCAGAACAAAGCCAGTTAGGCCGCATAAATGACCTTAACCTTGCTGGATTTGCAAATAAGAGCAAAAGTTAATTTGAGCTACAGCTCATAAATACCTATATTCAGAGAAAACAGAATGTAAGCTCAACCAATCAGAAGCAGCCAACAAATTTATAATTATATAACTAGGGACTTTCCAATAGGATAGGCCAAATAAGGCAACAGTGTAACTGTAATCCATCAAATATTTTCTTTGCTTTACTCGCCTATTTATCCTATAAAAGCCTGCTATTTGCATTCCCTCAGTGGAGCTCCTGAGCCACTTTTGATTTAGAGCTTCCCTGTCCAATTCATGAATCACTGTTTGTTAATAAAGTCCTTAAAATTTTTATTGTGCCTCAGTTTATCTTTTAACCGTTTGACCTCTATGCGGTGTAGGATGTACAGTGACCATTTGGTAAGCTAATATTATTAACCTAAATTCTTTATTCTTGTTTGGTAACAAGATAAATGTATTAATGGATGTATTTCCCTTTCATTATGCCTAATATATATAAATTATATGTATAAAGTACATATATACATATATATATATATAAATTGCAGTTGTTTTTATGCATATCATAAAAGATAATATAATTTGAATTCTGGAGTTTCCAGAATAATTAGCCACAAAATGAAAGTCTGTTTACTGATTCAAAGCATCTCAGGAAACACAGTTTCCAATTTTGGGAAGAAAACTTTACAGACCAGGAGATGTTATTTCTAAAAAAAAAAAAAAAAAAAAATGGAGTAATTTTCTGGCTGTTCTGTTGACTTACTAGAATCACATAGCTTTTTAACTCTGAGTTTATTTGAAGTTAGGGAAATAAAACTAAGAAGACTTTATACATTTCCTTCTCAAAATTAAGCTGTTTCAGAGGAAATCTGACTATATAATATCTGTTCAGAAAATCATTGTCATCCCCAAGCCTGTGCCAGCCCTCTGTCAGCAGCACTGTCCTCAAAGATTCCTCAAGGGACCCTGTGGAAAAATGAAAACAAGAGAGGCTATCAAGGGGTGCAAGTAAGAGGTGCAGTGTTGAGTTATAATAATCTAAGTGTCCTTCCTAAATGGCTGAAAGTATATTGCAGTAGAAAAGTATTAAAATGTGTATGTGTCCCAAAAAAGAGGCAAAATGTAATGGAGATCATGTCCTCTAAAGCAAAATATTTGGATGGTTATGAACTCAGGATCCTCCAATAGGCCTGCTGGGGCACATTTCTTTTTTAATATCAACATATTACAAATGGGGAAACCAAGGCTCATGGACACTGAGTGCTTGACATAAAATCTCAAGGTGATGAATGGTAGGCATGAACCTTTATAAATTTAGTTTTATAATTCTTCATCATATGAGTACTCTTTTGTCCCCTAAATCAAGCTGTCTCTTAATGATGACACAGGACTTTGTTTTTAAAGGATTAATGGGGAAAAAAGAGGGGGATCACTGCAAAGGTAACGAATTAGAATATTTTTACCTAAACCGATGAATAGGAGTGGAATGAAATTTATTTCTGAAATCCAGGAGATGACAGAGAAATGAAATTGGTGTTATCCACAAGTGCGGGCAGGATAAAATCTAAAGCAATAAACAGAGGGCTGCTCCTCTGTTCCAGTATAATAAAAAGTAATATTTGAAACACAAAAGCGAGAGAGAGGAAGACCTGCTTATTTCCTGTGAGGGGTTTTCCTGTGATAGGAGGCACTTTTCTTCCTTTCCTCCCCAGAATCCGAGGAGAAGGAACTGCCCCACTGACCAGAGTGACAATGCCCATAGGACTGAAGGGGTAAGAGCAACAGAAACGGAATGCTTGAAAGGAGCAGAAACAGTGTATGGCAGCAGCAAATGTGTGTCAGATAGAAAGACAAAGGGAAAGGGACACAAAGAAGTATTCACAATGGAGCAACACACATGTAGTGTGTTTTATAATGCTGGAAAAATTCTGTACCTTTCCCATCTCACAGAGAAAAGAGAACACAAAGGAAGATGGATAAAAAAAAAAAATGATGCAGCCACTGGGCCGGTTATCTCTGGCTAGAGAAGGATTACCATTTCCTTACAAAAAGAAATTGATAATTGAAATTAAACTCAGATTGCCCAGGTATACCTGCCGGCAGTTGGAATGTTTAACTTAACTGCTCGGTTTACTTATTGACAAGCAAACTCCCTTTTACTAATAGAACCAATTTACAAAACTTTCCGGTCATCATAAATAGAAAAGCCAGATATGGTAACACCGCGATGACTAGTTAAGTACTCAGGTACTTATCCATGACTTTGTTTATCCATCCTCCTACATATCTGATAGAAAACACAAGGAGTAGGAATCTCATGGTTAACATTTCAAAGGCATGAAAATTGAATACTAAGTGAAGATACAACTTCATTCTTTCCCCTCTTCATATCTTCCTGGACCCTTTTTCTCCTTTGTCACAGCAAAATAATATAGGCTACTAAGTCTATGCACAAGGATATTTACAATAAACATTTGACAGTCTTTGCTATTGCTATATGAAGTGCATGCACTTGACAGGTGGCTACTAATTATTATAGTAAAAACAATAGCATTGAGTGATTTCTGCCATTATGGGATAAGAAGTTTGCTGGCATTATCTTATTTAATCTTCACCACAATCTTATAAGGTAGGTGTCATTACCCTCATTTTAGAAATGAGACTTGTTCATATGGAGGCTGGGTGTGGTGTCTCAGGTCTGTAATCCCAGCACTTTGGGAGGCCGAGGTGGGTAGATCACTTGAGGTCAGGAGTTCGAGACCATCCTGGCCAACATGGTGAAACCCTGTCTCTGCTAAAAATACAAAAATTACCCGGGCATGGCTTTGGACACCTGCAATCCCAGCTACTTGGGAGGCTGAGGCAGGAGAATCACTTGAACCTGGGAGGTGGAGGTTACAGTGAGCCGAGATCGTGCCACTGGACTCCAGCCTGGGTAACAGAGCAAGATTCTATCTCAAAAAACAAAACAAACAACCAACAACAAAAACAAACAAAAAAAAAAAAAAGAAAAGAAAGAAATGAGACTTAGTCATATGGAATGTTTTGCCTAGCTTCAGATTCAGTCTACTCCATTCCAAAGCCTCTGCTCCTCACCATTGTACATATTGCCTCTGCCACTTGTATGCTGAAGTGTTAATGCCTAAATGAATGAAATCTATCACTCTAGAACAAGTGCTGATGGTCCCATGAAAGAGGCCACTTCTAATCACTAATACCTCCTATCTCTGTAGGTAGTCTTTCTGAAGTCTTGACCTTCCAGAGTCAAGCTCCCTCAGCTCAGCTCTATAGGCATATTAGTGCCCCATGCTTGCCATAACCAGTCTCGAAGGCATTGTCTATTTCAGTGACTGAAAGGTACTTGGCATTTAGAGATGCATAGAAGATGAATTAGGAATTATTATTCAGGAACAGAGACAACTAAGAAGAGGATAACATTAGAATGCCATAATTCAACTTATGTTTATTACTGATGAATCACTCTCCACATGACTGATGCTTTGTTGACCTTCTCTTGGTAATGCTGGTACTCTCTGTCTCTTATTTCCTTCCATTGTACTCTAGTCCTCTAGTCTTAGCCAACAGGTTGTGGCTGCTGCAATCCCCGAGGCTCTTCTACGCTACCTCTGTGTCCATGCTTTGCTGTGTGCCCTATAGACTGTTCCTCTGTATCTGCCTTTGCAACAGCTGTCTGCTCATCCTTCATAACAGCTCAAGGGGTTACCACCTAGATGAAACCTTCCTTCTACTCCAGGCAGGTCTAGCTTTTTCCACCTTTAAGTTCTCCTGGCACTTCGCACATCTTTCAGAACTCTTATCACAGTTATATGCTGTAAACAAAGAATCATGGGTTTTATAAAATTGGAAAGGAGAACTTTATTTCTCATAAAGGGTTGCAGCCTGCAGGCTGGCCATCCCAGAGGCTGGGAAGCATAGCCTCTGGCAAAAGCTGAGAGCAAGCACATTGAGGTGATCAGGGGTAAAGGGAACAGGAATTTATGCTGAGCAGGGTAGCTGAATATACATATTTAATACACTATAGAAAGAGTCATGAATATTTACGGAGGAGAACCATGCAAATGTGCAATTGAGCTTCATGCCTCTTCATGGGTTACACGTTAAAAAAAAAATAGCTGTGTTAGCATGATCTGAGGGTGGAGTTTTTGGCCCTCTGACATCAAAAAGTAAACCAGAGGATATGAAAATTGCCAGTGTATATCCCCCACAGGTCAGCCAAAACTGGTCCAGAGATGGTGGTTGGTTTTTAGGAAGGGATGCCTTGTGAAACTGATTAACTGTCACATCAATACTGTAAAGAGGGAGAGAGAGTCTGGTTGTGGCCTCAGGTGATTGGCTAAAGACAATAAAGAAATGGGTCACCTGCTTCTTTTTTTTTTTTTTTTTTTTTTCCAGAGCTGGTTTCTGTTGCTCCTTAGGAAAGAATCCTGGTTAAAGGTGAATAAGGAAGGGGTATACTGAGGCATGAATATACTAAGGCATATCTACCCTCCCTGCCCATCATGGCTGGAAACTTAGTTTTTAAGGTTTCTCTGGGTACTCCTTGGCCAATAGGGGATTCTGTTCATTCAGTCAAGGGACTTGAGATTTTATTTTTAGTTATCTATTCTTTATTTGTTTCCATGAGTATCTTCAGAACCAACCTCTGGACTCCTCATGATTTGGGGAAATGCACTATTCATCATTGTATCTTCACCATCTAGCACGGTGCTAATCATATAGAAGGCATTAGTGAACACTTATTGAATTAACAATTGTAAGTTTAATGACTTGAAACTTTGAGCCACAGGAGAAATCTGTAGATAAACACAGATTTCTTAGTAAGAGGAAAATTATTCCATCCTTACAAAGACAGAAATCTCAGCAGATCAGATGAAAATACCATAGATTATCATAATGAGGGCACTTGCCCAACTCTTGAAGGGAAATATGTTTTTAGAAACCCTTATTAAATACTACAATATCAGAAGGCTAAATTTAAATTAAAAAAATGTGATTCCAAAACAATCTGAGCACAACGGGGTGACCACAGTCAACAATATTTCATTGTACATTTAGAAATAACTAAAAAAAATACTAGGATTGTTTGTAACACAAAGAAATGGTAAATGCTTGAGGTGAAGGATACTCCATTTACCCTGATGTGATTATTACACATCATATGCCTGTATCAAAATATTTCATATACTCAATAAATATATACACCTACTATGTACCCATAAAAATTAAAAATATAAAAGTAAAAATCGGATCCATCTTTTCCCTAAATAGTGGTTGTTCAAAGAGACATTTAAGGCACAAGTGTTGTTTGTGCAGTATTGTTTTGCACATATCAAATTCTAGGTTTTATGTCTTACCCACCCTGGATAGAAATTTATATCCATTCCAGGAGGCGGAGGTTGCAGTGAGCCGAGATTGCAACACTGCACTCCAGCCTGCGTGACAGAGCGAGACTCTGCCTCAAAAAAAAAAAAAAAAAAAAAGAAAAAGAAAAAGAAAAATTTGCACCCATTCCTGTATTCTTTTTATAGGCTTCTGTAAGCTTCAAAAATGATCCTTAAAGAGATTGAAGATGATGACTCAGAGCAGAAAAATAAAACAAAAACAACATGGGTGGCAGAGTTGCGTGATAGAAAGAATGGAACCTTCAGGTCCAGTTAAACCTGCTCTGCTATTAATTAGTTTTTGGTTTTGAGGTGATTTTTCCAAGCCGTCATTATTAGTAATAAGAGCTACAATATCATTGGATGAAGAAGAAAAATTTCTGAACAGAAGCATAGCTCCCAACCATATGTTTTCCATACCAGCATCTATACAGGCACCAAAAATCATGGATGTTCTTATAGCCTTGTGCCTCACGGCGTGAATTGCTCATTGATCATTTGAACTCGTAACAATGGAAACATCAGTTTTACCAGGCCTCCTGGGCACTTGTCTGACCTTTCTGATTTGTCAAATGGAATTGCTTCGTTTGTAAAATGTTTCATAGGAGACAGGACAACAATCTCTGTTTGATGAAGGTGAATGTACCCAAGATAATTTCTAGGGTTTTAATGGAAGAGTTTTGTGACAGCTGGTTTAGCATCTCATGTAAAATAAATTCAAGGCCTTTTGTCTCACTGAAAGTAAGGTCACATTATTAAGAGAGAAGATCCTCCTCTACCAAAGTCACAGGGATTGACTATTCAGTTGAACCCCAGAGGGGCTAATCTGTCCCTGATAAAGTTGAGTTGGATGAGTATCATGCATTGCATGTGTTTGCCCATGATGAGATATATGCAGAAGAAACAAGAACAATAATATAGGCCAATATTTAATGAGGACTTACCTTGTACCAGATAATGTTTTCAATTGTCACATGTATTAGATCCTTTAATTCTCACAAGGATGATATGGAGGATACAGGACCATTTACATTATTTGTGTGATCTAGTGCCAAATAAAAATGTAAGCTCCTTGTTCTAAAGGCAGAATGAAAGCTTTTTCCTTTCTTTCTCAATTTTTTAGTTAACCTGTCAAACATAGGGATACTCAGGGAGCAACTGTAGACCCCCACAGGCACTCACGACCCCACCCCACGATTCTTTGTGTGGAGGCAGAAGGTTGCAGCAGTTGCTAGAGGGAGGCAGAAAAGTGAATGAGGAAGAATCTGCCTGGGTAGGCAAGAACATTCAAGCCAAGGCTCCAAGTCCCTGGCTCATGTTCCATTGTGCCATTGAACTTGAAAAAACATGCACACGCATAAATTCACAGATAAAATTCTTAAGCATTTCAGGACAGTGACTAGAAAGCATTAAGCCCCAAACTCATTGGGTTCTAAGTGACTGCACTGGTTGCATACCTTTGAATATGGTTCTAAAAGTAGGTAATAATATTATCTGAATTTTACAGATAAAGAAACTACAATTACCAGAAACAAAGTTTTTGTGTTTGTTTGTTTTGGTGATGTGTTTGTCTACCATATAATCACGAAAACATACTATGCCTATTATACAAAATTTAGCTTGTTCTATATTTTGGTATACTTTTAATACTACTGTTTTAAAATTCTTAATTTCTCCTGCATGTCTTCCCTCATGGCTAAAGATAAATTTGGTATCCTATGAACTATGTTTTCCGTCAAGGTTTGCACAACGGCATAAAACAATCCATCACATTTTTCTGGCCAATAGATACATGCTTTATTTCTGAATGTCAACGTTTAAGAGACTGAAGTCTGTGACTACTGTTAATTTTGCTAGTAAAAATAAGTTCTCCCTGATTTTGGTTATTATCCATTGAAGATGTTATCTTCAATAGTTATCCATGCCTATGTCATGATATCTTCACTTCTTCCCAAATATTATCTTCCTCAGATATTCAATTGTGAATGAAAAGTCAAGCTCCTTGTCCATTTTTACTGTACCTCAGCCTTCAAAGGCCTAAATTACCATTTCATTTCTGTTGCTGATCATCAGCAACTAGAAGACAGAATTTGGATATTCTCACACCAATGTACTATTGCTGCAGAAATCCTTTGGGCTAACTGAGAGGACCGAAAAAAAAAAAAAATACAAAAGAACATTCCAGAAATAATTACCTATTCACCATCTTTAGTACAATGCTGTACAAATAATTAATTTTTGGTTCGTTATTCTCTATTCACTTTTTCCTAACATATGGACGCATATATATGGGTCCAGTGAATCCCATTCAAAGAGAATAGATGGTGGGAAAACTATTGGATGCCATCAGAATATTTTAAAGAAAAAACTGTCCTTTGAAACAAATTCTGCAGAATATTTTGAACGGAATAAGAGAAAATTGGTTTCAAGTTAATCAGTGAAAGTGAAACACTTGCTGAGGCCATAATAACTGCCATTCCTAAGGGCTGACAGGTCATGCCATTTTCCAATGTCTTGCTGAAAAAAATAATTTGTGTAGGCTACCACTGAGTAGCCATACTGGCTTGCCTTGTTCCTGCCTTCCTTCTGATTTGGGGCACTGCAGTGGGAGCTGACATGCTGAGCTACTCAGCTGTCTCAGCCTCATGGCCAGGCCTCACTCAAAACAGTGTCCGAGGAAAATGACAACATCCCTTTGGGGAACTGAGCTAGACCTCATATAGTATTTGCATTCATGGAACAGCGTTTTCTTGTACTTACAGAACACTTTGTTCTATTTAACAGCATACATAGTTGTATCTGATTTTATTGCCATTGCCTTTGAAGGCACACATTCATTGTGCTATGGTTTGGTAATGTTCTTCTATTCAAATTGATTTGTAACAAAGAATGGGTTTACTTGGACTCTCTGCATCTAGTGTTGGTTCATGTCGCAATTACCTGCAGGCAGCAACTGTTTATTGATGAGGATTTTACCATAGTTTTATGTGATTACATGTTAGTTTAGCTTTCCCTTCTAAATCACCACTTAGTTTATAGTTCAATATTATCGATCCAAGTGCTACCAGAGAGCAATTCTATTGATGGCATGTTACGTGTTTGGAAGGCAGTCTAACTTTCAACCCACACTCTCTTTTGGAGAGAATGTTGCTTCAACTAACAATATTGAGGCTCTTGCTTAAATATTCATCTCACACATTAGAGTAATTGGCATTAAATAAACTTCATATCTGAATATTTTCATTAAGAACTGGAGAGTTGGTGGTCCACTCTAAAGTGTCCATATAGAAGTTGGCTAACTTTTTCTGTAGATGGCCAGATAGTAAATATTTAGATTTAAAAGCCATATAGCCCTGTCACAACTACTCCATTGTGCTCTTGTAGCACAAAACAGCCATAGACAATGTCTAAACTTATTGGTAAGGCTGAGTTCCAATACAACTTTATTTACTAAAACAAGTGGTAGGACAGATTTTGCCCAATGGCCATAGTTTGCTAATCCCTGTTCTAGGACCCTAAGAGAGGTACATTTGTAGAAATTATGTTTGGAAAGCAGACTAGCTACCCAGAATTCCAAACAATAGGCACATGGAAGTTTGGAAAACTCTTCATTTAAAGCATTTTTTAGTTCTAGATGCTGGTAATGCAATGCTGAACAAGACCAACATGGTTTCTCTCCTTATAAGATTTGCATTAACATTTGTGAATGCATAAAGACTTAAGTGAGTTCAAGTAATGCCAAATGCAATAAATAAAATTAAACAGAGTAAAGTAAATGCCTGGATGTGGGAGGAAGTATAACTTTAGATAAAACTGCCCTGGAAGCTTTTCTGAGAAAATGATATTTGAATTTTGGACATTTGATACTTGAATGATGAGAAGGATCTAGTCTTGGAAGGGTTTGGGAAAGAGCATTCTGTGCAGAGACATTGACAAAGGTGAAGGGCTTATGGAAGATACATACTTGGTGTGTTTGAGGAATAGGAAGACACCAGTACGGTTGAGAAGGGAAAGGGACTGTTATCTCTATCTTGAACTGTCCCCATTAAACTGATCTATAATCAGAATTTTAAGTGAGTTAAATTCTCTTTCTGATTTACAATCATCCTTTCTTTTGTTCTTAGTCACTTGTGGAGGCAAATTCGCAGGTTATCTGCAGCCTTTCATGTCAAAATGTAAATGTTTATAAATTCCAACTCACCATTATTAAACTGGAAGCAAGCCAGTGTTTCAGTTGAGGGACAGTTAAATCACACTGTTTGAACCATATTTGAAGAAATGATGACACCAGTGTATTAGTGGTAAGACTTGTGGGGTTAAGGATCCATAGGTCTAGTCATTTGAGCTATAGAGAGGATTTCACCATAGTCAATGGTCTTCAATTGCTAAATCGGGTAAAATAGCTCAACTATTAGTTTCACTATGGATGTCTAGAAGCCCAAAACTCATCAGTTAATTGAATACTGTAGACTGGGGGAAAAAATTATTTTATCCAATCCCAAAAGAATCAACTCAAGTTTATTTTACAGAAAAATATTGCATCTAGTCCTATATTGTAATTTTCTGAAGGTTTTTAAAATAAAATTATTTTAAATCCTTTGTTGCTAATGGTTGTAAAAACACTAATCCAAAGAGAATTGCCAGTATCTAAATAAAACACCCTGAGTTAATTTGACTCAAAAAATCAAGTCCTTTGCCTCAGTTAAGTAGAATGTGAGAAAATGGTTCTAACAGAATCAAGTTCAGCTCAGGGAAGTTAATTAGAGTGTCTTGCCTTAAAAGACAAGGTAGTTTTCTAGGCAATGGTATTTGATAACAATGTTTCACATGAATGCAACAAAATTCTGTGCTCTGTTAAGAATTGCCGAAAGAGAGGAAAACTCTGTGAGAGAGTAACCTGTTACAGTTTCAGATAGCCAGAGGGGGAAATCAGTCTGAATTCATAAAATAGTATATCATGGATTTTTTAAAAAATAAAATTGCTTCGAAATACATACAATAACTCGCCCAAGATGTGTATGGGTGCGTGTGTGTGTTATCTCCATCCCAATAAATGCTATTGGGAATATATAAGGCTGACATTATCATTTTAGTTGATTAAAATAAAATATCTAAGTTACTCGTAGCATGCTTAAAATATTTTTATAAGTAAGGTAAATAGGCTTGACAAACTGGTGATATCTTAATTTGCTTCTCATATCCATTTTTATGGATATGATAAAGGTACTTGTCAGCCTAGATTTTGTTACAAATTCTCAATTTATGTTTGATTCTGAATAAAATTTTATTAAAGATGTCTAAATGCAGCATCTCTGCTAACATAGGATTTCCAAAATTTTAATTTGTCAGGAAAATGAAGAGTAAGAGATTACATTGTGTAACATAGGGCATTTTTTTCCTGCCTCGTCTTAGCACAAGATATTACAGGGGTTTTTACTCTTTTTTTAAATTTTAAATCAGGATTAGTATACTCATTTTTTTCTTGGTGTTTCCTATTTGTAACTGATATAATGCCACAGGCCTGGGAGCTTTAAAGAAAATTATTTAATAATAAAATAGTATTTAGGAGCTCTTTTTTTTTTCATTTTCTGAGAAGATATAATGCATTCCTTTAAGCATTTTGAATCTCTTCTCTAGTTGGCAGCAGCAAATATTGTAAGGGAATATTTTTGAAATATGAATCTTAATCACATCTTCTGCCATATCCACAAGAGTTTCCATTTTATATGCCACATTCAACTTCATTCATCTGACAACAATGGAAAAATGTTACTTTAGACATCAATGGAAGTTTTACTGAGTATCATCAAATGCTTAGCAAATATTTAAAATATTTCACATATTCTTACGATCAGAAATTACACATTGAAGAATACTTCTTGATTTGGGAACTTTAATAAAAAGAAGTGAGAAATAGATCTTGGTCTGACATGGAAGGTGGAGCAAGCTGATGACTTTACTAAGTGACTTGCTACATTCTTATAGAACAAGGTAGTGGGAGTATTTTTCACTAAACTATTTATGGGACCAAGGTCACGTAACTTACTCTTGTAGCCTAAGCTGGTGATAAGGCTTGGACTTTTAATTTCCAAATTATAGCATGCAGGTATTAGAAAACTGATGACGCAAGCCACGATTCTCACTGAAAAAGAATAGAACAATATCACACCTGTAACCCCAGCACTTTGGGAGGTGGATCACGAGGTCAGGAGTTCAAGACCAGCCTGGCCAAGATGGTGAAACCCCGTCTCTACTAAAAATACAAAAATTAGCCGGGCGTGGTTGTAGGCGCCTGTAATCCCAGCTACTTGGGATACTGAGGCAGAGAATTGCTTGAACCCAGGAGGCGGACGTTGCAGTGAGCCAAGATTGTGCCACTACACTCCAGCCTGGGTGACAGAGGGAGACTCCATGTCAAAAAAAAAAAAAAAAAAAAAAAAAAACAACAACAGAACAATAGCACTTTCACTCATTTGCAATTTTAGCAGAGTTTTCATGGGTGAATATCAACATCTGTTGCTCCATTTCCTGAAAAGTCCTGTGGGTTGGAATGCCAGTGCTGTCCCAATTCACTTTGTCTTTTGCTTTAGTAATAGCAAAAATCAATGTAATTACCATCACTATTCACAGTTTTTTTTAATAAATAGTGGGACCCTCATTTAAGTCGATAAAATTGTTCTGTCTCATTCTTTGCCTTTGTTCAGGATCACATATGAAATTCTTTTCTGCAAGATGGTTTTCTACCTCCATTGACCTTGAAATGAAAAATTCTTTCAAAATAAATATTTTACAAAATTATTTCTAAGTCGAAAAAGACTTAGTGTCTTGGTGTACAAGAGTGGGGTAATACCAGCATGTTTCTCAGTGGGGAGTGGGGTAAAAGAGGAGGACAAAAAGGTTAATTAATGCATAAAAGTGCCTAGATCAAAGGCAGGCACCACTGTAAGCAAAAGACATCTCCTTGAATATTTCCTACTAACTTTCAAAAACGAATGGAACTCAGCTGTGGTTTAAATAATAATAATGCAAGAGACAAATTCAAGAGCTTTGTCTCTTGAATCAAAAATGGTTGTCAAGTTTTCTGGTTGCATATACTTAAACCTGCCAAAGGTAATGATGGCTACTTCAAGAAGTCTGCCTAAGATGTTGATACAATCAACGACTCTGTTTAGTTGTTCTTGCCAAGAAAGAAAGAAATAATTCCAGATTCCAGGTGTTACTACTTAGCTGGATGTTTTACTTTATAAGGAGGCAGCAATTCATGAGAAACAGCTGTAATTACACAGCATTCAGGTATTTCATAATTAAACTAACAGCTGATTTTAAGGTGGCACATGGCATGAGATTTTGCAACTAGGCTAAGTAAGCATGAAAGTGTAGCTTAGTTCTCTTGCTGTCGGCTTTGGACAAATCCTCTCTGTGCCTTGGTGTACAAGAGTAGGCCAATACCAGCATGTTTCTCAGTGGGGAGTGGGGTAAAGGAGGAGGACAAGAGGGTTAATTAATGCATAAAAGTGCCTAGATCAAAGGCAGGCACCATTGTAAGCAAAAGACATCTCCTTGAATATTTCCTGCTAACTGTCAAAAACAAATGGAACTCAGCTGTGGTTTAAATAATAATAATGCCAAATACTGGAATCATAGAAAACTGAGTATTCTTATCGGTATCCCTGTGACTCAGTGATTTTGGTTCCTTAGAGAACTCATCTTGTTATGTAGGACTGAAGAGGAGCTTGGATGTCAGTTGGATAACATTGATCCTGTTGAAGCTGTACCAGGCACTGTGTAAAATACAAAAGTTGTAGAGTCATCTGCAGGTCTGGTATACATGGAATTTACAATCTAAGTTTCACGCATAAAACATCTTTCCGGGGAAGACATAAGCTATTGCCCTTGAAGATTTGTAACCTAGGGGTTGGAGATAGACTCCATGAGGCTGAGGCTCCTCTATTCCCCATGCTTCAGGAGAGTTGCTCAAGTTAGTCATGGCTGTGCCTTTGCTTGTCTCTCCCAAGTTCTATTTCTATTGCTTGGTAAGTAAAACAGCTTATTTTCAGGGTTCTTTAACAAATTCTGTAATTAGTACTCTAAAGTGTTCAGTGATCCTGACTGTGTTACTTTTCACTATTGCTTAAGATCTCATGTCTTTTGAGTGACCTCTTCCTTCAGGAACCCTTAGAGCCTTGGTTTTGTGAGCCCATAAATGCCAGGAAGCCTCCAAGATTTCTAGCTTTGTGAAGTTTACAGACCATTCATTTCCGCAGTCTCCTGTTGTCATCTCTAGGGGAATTGCAGTGTGTCCATCCACCCTTGAGGCATGGCAAGGTGAACATCCCTTGGACTGAAGACTGAATGCTTGGTTTTGTTCCCATACTTAATCTGAGAGATTCAAATAATTCTTTACTTTGCTGCTTTCCTAAGACTATTTTAATAAGAAAAGCATCAAAAGAACTTGGTCAAGATGGGGAATCTTGGGTCAGGAAAATTTGGAGACTTACTTGAAGAGAATATTTGAAAAAGATTCAAAGATTTTGAACTATCAGGGTAGAGGGAAATTGTTTCTGGTGGTTAAAATGGTAGGAAGTGGCTTTCAAATCTGAAAAAATCTAAATGTTTTTAAGGTGTTCCAGGCACTGTGGTTAACAATTTATATTCCTTTTCTTATTTAGTCCTCCCAACAACCCTGCCAAAGAGGTATTATTATTCCCCTTTGAAGTGAGGAATCTTAGTGCATTCAAAAACATTCATCTACTATTTATTGAGCACCCATATTTCTAAGTGCTGATAATGTAGTTGTGAACAAGACAGCTTATATTTTAGAGGAGACAGGTCATTAGCAACTCAACAAATAAGTAGCATAATTTTCCTAGGAAAATATGTTGTGCAGAAGGTAAGGCTAGGTTACAGGTCATGCCAATTGAAGGTGGGAACACAGTAGGTGGGTTTGCAGGACAGAAAGAATGTATGTATGGCTGGTGAGTGAACAAGGGAGGGGTGGTGGTGGGAAAAGATGCAAGGATCAGGCAGGGTCTTGCTGGCCAAGGTAAGGAGTTTGCATCTTATTCTAGGAGCGACAGGAAGCTTGAGGAAACATTTATAAATAAATGAGTGATGTGATTCCGTTATGTATTGCAAAGTTTCCTCCGGCAGCTGAGAGGTTGAATAATTTGTTCAAGGTGAGGTGGGCACAAAGAAGAAAGATGGAGGGGGATAAATGACTCACTTGGCACCTGGGTCCCTCTGCCTTGAAATCCCTTTCCTGAATACTGGTCTATTTTACTTGACTACTAGTATTAAGAGATTGGAAAGAAAGAATGCAAGTAATGGTCAGAGAGGCAAACCGACTTAAAAAGCTGAAGCAAAAAGTTGCATTATTTTAGGAAAATGAAGCAGGTTCATTCGTGCTAACTCCTGGGAAGCTGGCCTTTGAGTGGCTGGCTTGCGTGGCCCTTGCAGTGTTACCTGGCAACTAAGGTAACCAGGTGAGGAGGCTCCTTTTTAAACATACCACTGAGAACAAAGCTTCGTTTTTGGATACTCAGGTACAAGGAGGACTGATATGTTTGGGTCTCCTGAACTGTGTTCCTGAATTTCCTCTGCCTTCTTGCTAATAACCTGAATTGTGCAGATACTGCTGCGGCTACCAGCACACACCAGTGTTGAAAGCAGCAAGCTTTGGAAGGTTAAGGAGCAAGTTGTGCATGAAACACTTGACCCTGCCCTGCTAAATAAAGAACCGACATACAGCCTACAGTGGGAAGAAAAGAGAGAGAGGATGCTCCTTGAGAATTTTTTTTTGTGTTGCAGACTCTTCCCCTCCCCTTCCTCCTCCCAACCCACCCCCAGTCCATCTGTGATGCCTGAATTCTTTACAGGCTGTCTTGCTAAAGACATCCTAGCCTTAATCACCTTCTCTGTATTGTGTATCACTCCTGTATCTATCTACTTATGTCAGTTGTTTACCAGTTCCCTTCAGCTGTCTGCTTTTTATCATATTATTGATCAGTCAGTCTTGGGCGTCTTAGGTTGGAGGGGAGAGAGAGAGAACCGGCAAAGGGAAGCAGGAGTAGAGAATAGCGGTGGCGGACAATCAGTTAAGATGGTTCCAAAAATAGCTCAGCTCTGCTGATGACAGCTCTGCTTGCAGCCACCCCGTATGGGATTTACGCACTTCACTAAGATTCTCTGCTGAAACGGATTCGACCAGCTGCTCCTGCAGTTGGTGGTGGCTGGTGGCGGCGGTGGCAGCAGTGGGCTGGTTACATCTTCAGAGAAGGAATTGGAAGCGATAGGTTTGGGGCAAGGCAGGCTCCCACACAGGGACATGAGATTTATTATCAGAGGCTATTAGGACTCAGGTTGTGGGGCATCTGTGTTCTTTGTACACTATGCTCTGGGCACTTGGCATCCAGTTTCTTTTTGTCCCTATCTCTTTTGAATGAGATGAGGGAGTAAGTGATGAGAAATTGTTATATTTCTCACCCACTGTGTCTATTTTGTTGCTATTGCTCTAGTTTATTATATACATAGGCTTTTTTTCCCTACTGCACTTTCTGTTGGGAGACTCAGCTATGTACAGGTCCCAACTTTATAATTCTTTGGTCTTATCCAAGACTTTCATTTGTCAAAGAAACTCTGCAAAGTGGCTGGGTCTAAAAATGTAATATAAGTAAGTACAACATTGATAGAGGGCCCCTGTCCCTCAAAGACTCTAAGTCTATGCTATGTAGAAAATGCAGTGTTTCTTATCTAGTAAGGTGATCCTCTCTTAGAAAAAGAAATGATCTTGCACAGGCTCTCAGGCTTTTGTAATCAAGACTCCTTCCAGCCACAACACCTCTAATTACAGGGTTTTTGGCATCCTGATTGTCCCCCAATGTACTATGTGTAGGGGCACTGTGGGGGTGCCCTATAATTTGTCAAGCTTATTATCTTGCTCTGGCACACAGAATACACTGAATCAATTTTTAAGGTCTCTTTCAAAATGTGTCTACGTCATCTAAAACCCATAAATATTAAAATCATATGCACTAGAAACAGTTAAGATGTTTAAATTTTCCAGAACACAGAGACTTAGGAAACAGGCAAGACACAACATGAAAGCAAAAAAGGAAAGAGAATGTTACTTATTCTATTATCTGCCATGATGGGGAAAGGGGAGACAGAAAAACAACTTTCTCCTTATAAATCCCAGCTTTTGCTGCTGCCTTTACTATAAATATTGTTATTCAAAAGGTTTTCACCTCCTTCTTGGGAGGCTATTCAGTGAAGTATAAGATATAAAGAGCAATTTTATTGCCTAAATGAGAAGCTGGCCAAAGTGTAGTTTCCTCAGCTCCATGCTCAGAACATCTGATTCAGTAGGTTGAGTTGGGACTGATATACATTTTCATAAGCATGTGCAGTAATTCTGATGTAGCTCGTCTGTGGACCACAACTCAGGAACCCTAGTCTTTTAAATGTATATTTTTTTAATAACATGGTGCTCTAATTTGGAGCCCTCAGAAAGAAAGGAAAATAAAACAGCATAACCTGTGTCCTCCATGATAGTTTAGTGGGCTCTAGTATTAGTTTATTTCATGACATGTAATTGTTATTTTCATTTAATTTGCTGCACAATTACTTTTATGTATAATCCATGTTGAGATGTGAATAGGACAATTTACTTTATTTAAATACTTTCAGCATTGGCATACCTGAGGAGATAATAGACTATGAGTAGGGAAGACATGGGCTGATGTTCTACAGTGTTCCAGGGTCAGCCATTTTCTTGCTGCAAGCCGGAGAAGATCCACACTTCCTTCTATTCTATTGAGCCTTAGAGTGGCCACAAGGAGTATCAGTTGCTCCCTCCTTTGAAGGCTGGAGTCTGTGAAGGCAGTGTTCAAGTTCACTTGTTAACCCACATCGCCACCTACTGTCCACCCCCCATCCTTAATTAAGAAACTTTTGCCTGGGAGTTGGGCGGAGATTAGTGTGAGAGGCTACAGTATGAATGAAAAGTGAGATTGTGAATGCACCTCTATCGAGCCCTATTCAGAATGCTTGATTTGCAATAGTTTATTAAGAATTACAGCATTACTATCCTTAAATCTAAAGTCTCTCTCTCTTTCAGTCCAGAAGCAAATTACTTTTGGGTTAGAAATAGCAGCCAAGTTCCTGTTAAAATGAAAACAAACCTCTCTCCACCTTGTGTCTAAGGCCCTCTTTGTTGGCTTTAAAATGTTTATTGATTTGGGGATTTAATGTTGGATCCAACTGTGAATAGTGGCCACTTTGGGCCTGGTGAGTGATCCTGGAATTTGTCAAACAAGTTTATGGAAGGAAACCTGAAAATGCTTCACCCTAGTCCTTTGCCTCTTTATTTTTGTGGGTTTTTTTTTTTTCTCTTTGAGAATGTTTTCTATTTGAGTGGAGAATGCTCTCATATGGTACTTTTCTCTGATCCTTTTGGAAAGAGCAAGTGTCCTTTGAGAAATACTTGTTCTTGGTTGTTCCCTGCTCCCCACCCCCATGCCTGTCCCTGCCACTTCTAGAGCAGGTGGAAGTCGCCTGTGGGTTCTTCTGGTCTCAGGCTTTGACTGTTCCCCTCCACAAATTTGTTCTTAATTCGATTTTGTATTGAAGCACATCAGTTATTTGGGCTTCCATCTTTAGTGAAAAGCCACCTTTGCGTGTTGTTATGCCACATTACAGTGTTCCAGAAAACATATTGGTGTAGATGCAAAATCTTGCCTTCATAATTTTTAGCCTTATGTTGGATTAGAGAGCATATTTTCAAGTTGATCTCTTGGAACCTCAGCATGAATCTATATTAGAAGCCCAGAGAATGCTAAACAGAGTTTTCACTGAGCCATATTAGATAACAAATTATTTTACCTATAAATGAGATATTAATTATATAGATTAGATTTTTGTTATTAGATTATCAGCTATGGAGTGATCACCAAGGAGGATAAAATAGAAATAGTATAATCTTCTTTGCCCCCCTTTAACTCTACTATCTGTGGAATATACTGAACTTTTTACAACCAAGTCTTTAATGCTCTTTACTTTCCCTAGCAAATGTTCTTCCATTTAAAAAGTCTTTAAAATACTTCTTTATTTTAGCAGTGCTTCAGAAAATCTATCTTAGACCATTCTATGCTTTTAAATCTATGATAAGATTAATTAAGTAGGCTAACAACCTCACTTAAAAATATTACCTCGTTCTTGTAACATTAATTTCTACAGATTTTTTTATTGTGTAGAAGTAGATACATAGATATTCCTAGTAACTATAGTATAATATAAAATTAAAATCCTATGTGTTGAATCATTATGTTAATAATAGCTGCCATTTCTGGAGCACTGTGTCTTCCAGGCCTCTGGTAAACACTGTTGCATACATTATTTGTCTTAGTTCTCAAAATAATCTTGAGAGGTTTGTACTATTCTTTCCATCTTACAGATGCAGAAGTTGAGGCACATGAAGAGAATTCTTAGGATCCTAAATTTTCATAAATGCCTTCAGGGGAATTTGACAATCAATCTCCATTAGGATCACATTCTAGTAGTTTTGGCCAAGGAGAGTAAAGGAAAAGCTTGTCTTTCTTGCCTAGAAGTTTAAAGGTCAAATCCTCTCTCTAGCCATATTGCAATTCTGGGGACAGTTCCTATTGATTGGGCACTTCCATCTAATATGCTGTTCAACTGAGATTCTTTCTGGCCAAGAGCTGTGCAGGGGTAGGTGGCCTCAGAGAAGGAGCTGCTGGAAGGGAGAAAAAGGTGGCTTTGTCCAAAAGAGATGAAGCTCATAGGCATGCTGTGCTTCATACCCTCTACTAGCCTTGCTCATTTAGGTTATTTGCTGAAAACTATGCCTGTCTCAGGGAGAATAGTGGGTGCTGGAGATCCGTTGGTGAGTGGATGCTTTCTCTTCCCTCATATAGCTTAATTGTTAGTGCTAGAGACAGATACTAAAATAAATGTACTGGTGCAAAGTTAACAACTTGACTTCATAAGAGCCATAAGGGGAAATTTTAAATTGTGTGAAAATATATGACTAGAAGAGCTGCTCTATTCTGGGATGGCCATGGAGCATCACGAAAGGCTTTGCTGAGCACATTTGTGCTGGACTTAGAATGATGGCTAGGAGTTACTAGGCTAAGAAAGAGGGATGTGCCAAAGATCTTTAAGGAACTTAACATGAATGTGGCTGAGGAAAAGTGAGGGATGAGCTTAGAGAGTGTGGAAAGGGTCAGATAATGGAGGACACAGTCAGTCGTGATAAGGATTTTGCTTTTTTATCTTAAAAGCAATGGAGCTCATGTACTTTCCTCTTGATCTGCCCAAGTACTTCAGTCTTCTTTTCCCCTTTTATGCTTTTCATCTGTCCAAGCTCTTCAGCTGAGCTTTCCTCACTGATGACAGCACTATCTGGAGTGAAGGAGGTGCAGATCCTGAGATGGACTGCACACCCCTTGGGGCTGGATGGACAGACTACTCTTCGAGTGAGATAAGGGATGCAAGTGTAAAGGGCGAGTATGTTGCCTCACTCAATCACATGTTCACCACCCTCTCTGCCAACCTTTCTGCCTCCTGCTACACCCTGCCTAAGCCATGCTGACCAACCTTGTCACTCTGGCCTCACTGGAGCAAGAAAGTCTTAGAATGCTGGAGGGTTCCACAAGAATAAAAAGAGCCCACCACATCTGCATGCATAAACACTACACAGCTAGCTCTTGCTTATTTCTGAGTCCAGCAAATATTATTTGAGTGTTTTTACACATCACTGATCCAATAAGGAAAACTTGTATAAAGACTAATGTTTTTATGCTTCCTTTATAGAACATGAACACATTTGAGGTTTTGTTACTTATTCTGGAGCATTAATGCAAGATCCAAGAATATCAGCTTTAAGATTTGTTTTTCTATTCTCAGAATAGGTTTGAAACAGAGAGCAAAATACCTACCTGTATGCCTTCTTTAGTGACAGTTGTTTCTAAAATATCTGTCTTTCTTCTGAGAGAACTATTTGAGTAGTGAGAATTAAGTAGGAATGGACATAAAGAGATTATCATGAAGATGGTTTTATGATCATCACTGTCATTGCCATTGTCAAAGAGGCATTTATTAAATGCCAGATTTGATTTTAGCATTGTTTTAAGTTCTGTTACCTGAAGAGAATTCAAAATCACAGTCTTTGTCCTATGGGAATTTCAATCTATCAGGCAGCCTTGATTTAGAAACATTTGAAGAGGACATAAAGGTAACAAGAATGAAAAGAGATTGGATCAATATATAAAAACTGAAAGCATTTATATTACTTAGAAGTTAAAAGTCAAAACAAATCTAGAATACTGTTGGGATAGTCAGAATAGGTTAGGCTGTGTTGTGGTAACAAGCCAACCCCATACCTCAGGAGCTAGCAGAATGGAGTTTATTTCTCACTTCATACTTCATGCTCATCACAGGTTGGCAAGAGTATGCTTTGTGTCATCATTGTTAAGGGACCTAGACTGAGGGAGCCTTTACTATCCAGAATGTTGCTCGTCACCCTGGAAGCAGGAAGGAAATCAGGTGAATTCTGACTGGCTTTGAAAGGTTTCTATCCAGAAGTGACACTTTACTTTCACATTCGCTCCATTAGCCCAGGCAAGCCACACGGTAATGCATCACTCGAAGAGAATTAGTAAAACAGTAAAGAAACACTTCTGATCAAATTTAGTAATTATTCTAGCCACAGTAATCAGTCAATCTAATTAGATGATAATACTATTAGTACTTATCAGCAACAAAACATGTGCTAGGTATCAAATGCTTTGTTAAGCAATTCACACACATTACTACATTTAATCTTTACTGACTTATGAGGTGGGTTCTATCATTATCTCTATTTTCCACATGATGAAATTAAAACTGGGAGTCTTTAAGCAACATGCCTCAGGCCACACAGCTGGTATTTTGTAGAGCTACAATTAAAACCCACTTACTCCTAATTTAAGAGTCTGAGTGTTTTTTCAAGATTCCTATCATGTCACAGAAGTCCACTGACTTGTTTTGATCGAGCTGAGAAGAACAGACTAGAGTCACTTCTGACCTGGCCACTTAGAATTATTAAGAAGTGTCTCTGCTTTGCTAGAAATCTGTCTTTGGCTTTGTTGGTATTTAGAACCAGATGGATGATGATGATGATTATTATTATTATTGTAAACCGTCTTCCACTTGTTTTCTATTTCCTTTCTTTAAGGGTGTTAGTGAATAATTCTTTCTTTCACCCGGGTTCCTGGAGCTCCTTAAGAATTAACTTCCCAGGCTCTTTCATGTTTTTCTGGCACCATCTTGGATGATGAGGGCTTAGAACATTTTGTGACTATGCCCACTGTCTGGAAAGGCTTGTAGGTGAAGGATTCTTTAAGAAAACTCAGATACTTTTCTCAAATTCACTTATGATGATGTTTTCCCAAATCATTTTTTATCAATTCTATTTTTGGTTTCTCTCACTTATGAATTGTTTCTGTCTCCTTCATTTTGGAACATTTTTCTAGTTCATTGTTTTTTTGTTTTTTCACTCTCCCTCCAGTGTCTAGCAAAAGCCTAACACACATTACTTGGATATTCATATCTTAAAAATGAAAGAATAAATTAGTAAAGTGGTGGATTCAGAATTCTAGTTGTTTTTCAGCTCCTCTGCCTTGATTACCTCTCACCAAGATTTTAACGAAGAGTGCTATGTTAACAACTGAGCCACTTACTTTCTCCATTATTATATAATTTTAATAAGTTTGGTAGCATGTTTTCTCACCTGTAAAATGAGAATAATGATAGCACCCATCTTTCAGGGTTAGAATGAGGATTTGATAATTTCATGCTGCAAAGTACTTACGATACTGCCTGACACACAGAAAGTACTACCATAACAGCAACAACCTCTTTATCCTTTGCCTTGGGAATCAAATATTTTCTACAGATTTCACTTTTCAGGTTTTCTTTGTACACTGAATTGTACCTAAAATTTCTTGTGCCTCCTATAAGAGTTCATCCCGAGGAGATTGGTTGCATTATTACCATATATTTAGATATTTATTTCCTTTAATCTGGTCATTTATTATCAGGCAAAATTCACCCCCAATATTTCACATAGGTTCTTTTCTATTTTCCCGAAGTGTTGGCAGGTCTGAGAAATAAAGGGAAAGAGTACAAAAGAGAGAAATTTTAAAGCTGGGTGTCCGGGGGAGACATCACATATCGGCAGGTTCCGTGATGCCCCCAAGCCACAAAACCAGCAAGTTTTTATTAGTGATTTCCAAAAGGGGAGGGAGTGTACGAATAGGGTGTGGGTCACAGAGATCACATGCTTCACAAGGTAATAAGATATCACAAGGTAAATGGAGGCAGGGCGAGATCACAGGACCACAGGACTGGGGCAAAATTAAAATTGCTAATGAAGTTTCAGGCACGCATTGTCATTGATAACATCTTATCAGGAGACAGGGTTTGAGAGCAGACAACCAGTCTGACTAAAATTTATTAGGTGGGAATTTCCTCATCCTAATAAGCCTGGGAGCACCACAGGAGATTGGGGCTTATTTCATCCCACAGCTGTGACCATAAAAGACAGCCGCCCCCAAAGTGACCATTTCAGAGGCCTACCCTCAGGGATGCATTCTCTTTCTCAGGGATGTTGCTTGCTGAGAAAAACAATTCAGAGATACTTCTCCCACTTGCTTTTGAAAGAAGAGAAATGTGGCTCTGTTTTGCCTGGCTCACTGGCAGTCAGAGTTTAAGGTTATCTCTCTTGTTCCCTGAACATTGCTGTTATCCTGTTCTTTTTTCAAGGTGCCCAGATTTCATATTGTTCAAACACACATGCTCTACAAACAATTTGTGCAGTTAGTGCAATCATCACAGGGTCCTGAGGCGACATACATCCTCCTCAGCTTATGAAGATGATGGGAATAAGAGATTAAAGTAAAGACAAGCATAGGAAATCACAAGGGTATTGATTGGGGAAGTGATAAGCGTCCATGAAATCTTCACAATTTATGTTCAGAGATTGCAGTAAAGACAAGTGTAAGAAATTATAAAAGTATTAATTTGGGGAACTAATAAATGTCCATGAAATCTTCACAATCCACATTCTTCTGCCATGGCTTCAGCTGGTCCCTCCATTCGGGGTCCCTGCCTTCCTGCAACAATTTATCATCTGTTTGGGTTATTGTCCCAGGGAATCATATTTTGGTAAGACACGTATTCTTTTTAGCTTAAATACTTGTTATTATAATACAATAGGCTTAATGACTTTGGCTCCATGTATAGCAATGTTTTCATTTGTTGATTTGTTCTTTTATTCAACACATATTTATTGAGAAAAAGAAAAATAATTACAGAGACTCTTAGAGCTAGAAAGAATCTTAAAATCTTTTAGGCGAAATTCACCCTCACTTGTACAGACGTAATACTAAGCATGCAAAAAGATCAGTGGCAGAATTTGCTTCTTCAGTGTCAAAGTAGATTCAATGAGAGCAGCAAAGGAAGGAACATTTCACTTCTTTTCATCTTTTCCTTGGGTAATTCCATTTCCCTCAATAAAGAAGGGAGGTTCTTCCATGAAATTAGGAGTTTCTGCTCCTGTAGGTTTGCTTTAGTATTAGTTGAAACATTTTGAATCAAATATGAAGAACAGTAATTCATATATAGGCTGAAGGACCTAGATTTTAAGTTGTTATGGCTGGCCCCAAGTCTGCATTGACATAAGGAATGTCTAGAGTACATTCTCAGGTCTGCAGCCTTGCATTCTGATGTCAAGAAGCTTGAATGGTGTCACAGAAAGGGTGTCTGAAGACATGGTGCATCTGTTTCCTGTGGCTTCCAAGCAAATTACCACCAACCTGGTGGCTTACAAAAATACAAACTCTCTTGCAGTTCTGGAGCCTGGAGGTCTAAAATCAAGGCACTGGCAAAGTTTTAGTCCCTCCAGAGGCTCTCACGGTGACTCCATTCCTTGTCTCTTCCAGTTTCAGGTGGTGCTCAGCACTCTTTGGCTTGTTGCTGCTTCACTCCAAACTCTGCTTCCATCCTCACATGGTGTTTGCTGTGGGTCTCTGCTTCTCTCTCCGTCTAACTTATAAGGATACATGTGATTGCATTTAGAACATGCGTGGCTAACCCAGGATAAGCACCTTCTCTCCAGATGCTTAATTTAATCATGCCTTTTGTCATATAAGGTAATAGTCACTCTTTTGCCATATGAGATAACATTTATCCATTCTGGAGATTCACAGGTTCTGGGGATTAAGACAGGGACTCATCTTTTCCAGGGGCTGCCATTCAACTCACTAGACCTGAATTTAAGTTCTTGTTCTTTGACTGCCTTTCCATGATTGGGCAAGTTACTGCATCTCTCCAAAACTAGGGTTTCTGCTCTGTAAAATGAGAATAATAACGCCTAATTTACAGGGTTATAATAAGAAATAAAAGTGGTAAATATATGTATTTATATATATGTAAAGTTACCTAACCCAGTTCTTAGCATAATTAGTTGCTGTAGTTCCAGGCATTCAATAGATAGAACAGATTTTAAACTACTTTAAAGACTAGTGTGAGGCTGGCCTATACTTAGTTAAGAATTTGTTAAAGTTTGATGATTTGGTTGAAAAAATATTCTGGAGTGTGATGGTTAATCCCTCTGGAGAACCCTGACTAATATACTGAGTAACTACAAAATGATTTTATATTTAGTTCACCATTATACATAGAATAGCCACAAAATGGTTTTATATTCAGATAACCATTATTTGTTGGCCATGCCTCATTTAATAATATTTCCTCTGTCTGCTTTCCACTGCTTCATAACCACTAGCACATTTTGAAACATATTACTATGTGATGTCAAATTCTTTAAATAATAATGAGTTTTAGTTTGAGTAACAAACCAGTGATGTCTGTGATGTCACAGGCCTGAAAAAAAAACTGTTGCAATGATCTTCATTGGCTAAATTAAAATATAAAGAGTAGTATAGAATTTATCATCCACATTTTACAGAATTATTGTTTGAGTCATTTAGGGTTTCTATTCCAGTCTCTTAATTGAACTGTACTTTCTATATCTGCAAGTCAAAACACTCATCAAAAAATATGACTTCAAATATGATAGCCAACTTTTGTGTTACTACATAGTGTTAATTTTACAGTTTTTTATATGAAATAACTCTCTGAGTTAGGAGACAAGTAAAGAAATGTTGCCAACACTCATAGATATGAATAACAACGTAATTTAAGGCATGTTGCAAAACATAAACTTTTAATATATCCCTCTATAAATTCTTACTTTTAGTATTCTTAATTCTCAGATATTACTCCTTTTCATATGATTGCATTTATATTCTTGTTTAATTCTCTCTTTTTTCTACTTATATGATTTCCTCCCCACTGACTTCTGCTCCTCCTTCCTGCTTATAGAAAGAATGTTGACCTCAAATGTCTATTATTTTTTCATTCAATGAACTACAGTAAAGTTGATGTGTAGGTGACAATTAGTGTAGGCAAAAGGTAGAGTAATGTTGCTTTCCAGGTATCTTCCAACTCTAATATTCTGTGGACTTATATACTTGAGAGTATTCATTCTGCGTGTAAGATCTCACACTTCTATAGCTGATACATTATAATCTGCCTATGTCTCTTTTTATCTGATCTATAGAAAAAATATTATTTTCATATCTTCATATGTTTTTGGGTTACCTTAGGCTATTAAAAGAAAAATAATGAAGATGTTAAGATATTTCAGGACAGTATGAGTATGTTGGGGTGTGTGTGTGTGTGTGTGTGTGTGTGTGTGTATGTGTGTGTATAAAAGATTTTACTTTTTACTCAGCCAACGCTTTAGAGATCTTCTGAGTTTCCAAGTAAATTTATTTGCTTAAGATGTGTCTGTTTGCTTTCATACAGCCATTCCACATCTTCCAAGAAATGACTTCAAGAACATCTGCTTCAGTACTCATAAACATCCTATCTGCTCATCATTTTCATTCTTTTACAACACTCCCACTTTCAAATCACATCCAAAATGGCAAAAAGAACCCAAAGCTAACATGATTTTAGATGTCAATTGTGTCCTCTCTGTGAATGTTTTCCATATTTGAAATGGCTGTGGAATTATCTTGCCTCTACCCACAGTAATTGAGAATGACAGGAATTGGAAAAGGGTCATTTCCTCTGTCTCCTGGGATTCTGAAAGCTGTGTTTTCTTTTATACCTGATCAGGTCTGCCAGTTGCAAAGCTATACAATGTAGTGGAGAACTGCATACGGTTAATTATGACAATTACAATCAGTTCTTTACAATCTCTGCTGCTGTTATGGGATTTAAATACCATAATGTATGTCAAAAGGACAAAATAATGTTCCTATGTTTTCTGCTTACAGCTGCTTTTATGATTGGGTTTTGCTCATAAACAGGTGGTTATAAAGTTGCAATCCTTCCATGAATTCCTTTATCTTTCCTGTCTCCTAACCTGGCTTCCCTGGTGTGTCATTGAACACAAGTGTTGAGATTCCTAGCATCTCTGAGGTGATCTCAGATCCTAGACAGTGTCCCTTGAATATGCTGCAATAAAAATGAAACCACTTATGGTCAGCAGAAGTAGGTAGATGAATTTAGTTAATTCTCAAAGTCTCCCTTGCTACTTCAGACCTCTGTGGTTTGCCTTCCCACTGCGTCCTGCACCTTCTCTCTATTTTCTACCTTTGCTTAATCCCTACTTTTTCAATTTTATCTCAGTGAAACACTGTGCCTAGTTTCTTCTCACCATTTTGGTCTCCAGCTCATAGCATGTTGTGAAGACTATTGCATGCGGACTTGAATTTATGTGCTGTTGATACTTGGGTACTTGTCTCTGATGTTACAAGTTAATCCATACAGTGCACATGTGGTCCCTCACTGTTGCTCAAGGCAGCTGGAAAATAGGTAAGGTAATCTTTTTCTTTCAGCACACCTTCCGTCTCTGCAGCTCTTACCTCTACCTGAAAGGTAGGTATAAAGAGAATTATGGCCAATGAAACTCCATATGAGAGCCCTCCCCTCCTCCCCAGAGTATATCTTGCTTAAACAACACATTTACGGTTAATGACCATCTGGTAAAGGTGACAGCCTTTAGTCCTCCTAATTCTTAACTGTCTGAAAAAATGTGCCCAACCTGCCACGGCTTGTGACTGAATTATAAACCATGAAGCATAATAAAGTCATTAAGTTTCAACATGTCAAAATGGACTCAAATTGCATCTTGCCCAGAATTTGATGGCCTTTCCCCAGCACTTAAGAGAGCAGGGCTGTGTACTGTTCAAAAAGCACTTTGTCATTTCTCGAAGTACTCTTAGCTTTGTGTGGCTGTCTGGACACAAGCATCAGCATCTCCAGGAGAAGGAGGAAATCGAGTGAAGTGAGAGCATGGAGGGGCCAGTATGCCACTTCCTAGGGAAAGGCAAAGGCATTTCTTCTCAGGAAAAGAGCAGAGAATGATGCTGTACCTCATTTGGTTATTGCTCACCCTCCTGAATATATGATTCATTTTACAGTGGGAAAATTTTGGATAAAAGCTTGTGCTTTACAATTCCGATTACCCTTCCCCTTTTATCCCCCACTATCAAAAATAATCATATTCTATAAACGTCAGTGGAAAGTGGTGAGAGTGCAACTACGTTTTGGAGAACCAGGTGTCAGCTCTGTCAGATTTCTATGAATAGGCACATCTATATACACTTTTTCAAAGAAAGAAAGGTCACTCGCCACCCTACTTGTAAAACTGTCAGAGGATTTAGGAAAGAACTAAGTTAGGCTGTCTTTTCACATGGGAAAGGAAATCTGGTTCTCAAGATATTTGGGGCATTGCAGTGAATAAGGGATATTAATAGAATTCCACCCCCGGCCTCTGGCTAAGAACTTATCTGCCTAGAATCTGAGGAGGAAAGGAATCTAAGAGTTACCCAAGGCTCAGTCTCACTGCAATAGGAGGGGATAACACTGAACATGGTGGGGCAGATGTGGGCTTTGGTATCTGTTGCTAGTTTATCCTCCCTTCACCCACCAGCGCAGTACTGCCATTTCTTCTTTCCCCTGGAATTCTCTATGTTTAGTGAGCGAGTTTAAGAATGGAGGATGCTCAGGGATCTTCTTCTCTTATATAGAGACTGGGATAATTTGAGTGTTCCATGTTCTGACACAGGTGGCATGGATGAAGGGGTGTCACTGAAGAAGCTTTGGCAAAAGCTGATTTACCTTTCCAAAGGCTCTGTGTCAGGTGCTGGATAACCGTTAAAAGAAAGGAAAGCAAGCCCTCTGGCGGCTGGCATGCAGAAATGCACCTGCTAAGCCAATGAGCCATTACAGGCCGTGCCTTCAGATTAGAGAAGGACATGTCAAATTAGTTGGAGAGTTTTAGAATACTTTATTTATTCCAGCTTGTACATGAAGTTATCGATGCATCTGCTACTCCAAGCATGTTCAGATGAAATAATAGAAGAAAGTCTTTAAGGTATTAAGGTTCATCTTCTGAAATTGTTCAACACTTCTTAAACTGCAGCAGGCCCAGTTGGGCACTGATAGCAACTTAAGTTGTCATTACTTTGTGGGATTCAGATCTCGAGAATATTTATTTAGTGAGAGGGAGCCAGCAATTTGTTTCTGTAGGCAAAAGGAGATTACAGAAGAGAGACCCCCTTTGTTGCTGAATTGAGTAGCTGGGAGGAGTTGCTGGAAGTGATGAATTTACCCCAAGCCATGAAGGATGGGTAAGATTAGAACAGATAAAGGAAATGAAAGTGAACGTTTGAAATATAGGGGCCACGGGAGCAGGAGTGGGTTTGTTTTTGAAGTCAGTAGCAAGCAAGAGTTGAGAGTCAGTGGTAAGTAATTATGCACAGAGAAAACTTGGCAAATAGATAAGAAAAAATCACATTAATATTTAAAGTGGTTTAATATCAATTGAATCACAAGGACATCTTAGGTATTCATTATGAAGCTAGAGACAGTATAGCCTCTGGACTTAAGGAGTGGGTCTGTATTCAAATCGTAGTTCTGACACTTCTGAGAGTCCTCAGGCAAGTTAGTTAGCTTCTCTTTGACCATTTTTCCCAATCTGTTCACTTGGGATGAGAAGATAATGTATCTTTAGACTCAGATACACAAACATTATCTAAATCCAGGATGTAGAAGTTGAGTGCAAGGAAAGTCTCAGTTGTCCCCAGGCTGCATATCATTCAACTGGTGAGTTTCCAGCTGCTGGTGTGCACAAACAGAAGCTGAAGGACCAATGGCAGGAGAATTACAAGGCAAGTTTATGAATCAGATGGATATTTGGACCAGATGACACCCAGGGGCCCTCCAACCTAGAGGTCTGGTAGTTCTAAAAATTCCATGATGTCCCACAAGAGCTAACTGAGATGTGGGGATAATAATGACATAAGTTTACATCTTACGCTAAAAATGTTGTTTAAATTTAGTTCAAAATGTTCTGTTCTATGTGAAAAAAATACTATCATTTTATTTAATGCAACCTATCACTGAAATGACTATCTCAAGCTGTTTCTCTCTATCTCGTGGAGGGAAGGAGTGGAATTGGGGGTAGGGTGCAGGGTGGAAAGAAAGGAGAGGTAATACTGTTACCCAGAGCCAACATGTTGCTCTTCAAAGGGGCTTCAGAAAATAGAACAAAGATTCCAGCCTGAATGAGAAAGGAGGTGGAGAGTTTGAGGAACACAAAGCTTTAAGTGGAATTTACCCCATCTAATTATTTGCGAAGGAAAGGGTGGAAAGAAATGTTGACAGCAAAGATTTCATGGAGAACAGGAACAATAAGACCCTGTGCCAGAGCACTGTATTCTTTGATGTACCACATATGGAGAAGGGATATAGAACTTGAGTTCAGCAAGGTTTAAAAGGCAAAATGTAATCACTTCCCTTTAATTAACTCAAACAATGCACGGCAGGTTATGTTAATGTGCCTGTAGCTGAGATAGAGGCAGTAGGCTGCCACTAATACCTGAGAGAGAGACAGAGAGAGAGAGAGGAAGAGGGAGAGAAAGAGAAAGAGAAAGAGAGAGGCTCCTGTAATGCCAGAGCAGGAAGGGCCTAGAAACCTTATAGACTAATTTTACAGATGCGAGAACAAGCCTAGCAAAATTACAGAACTCACCCAAGGTTATATGGTCTCTCAGTGACAAAGTGACCATAATACCTCAGGCCTTTACCAAGTTAGTATTCTCTCTAAGACACTGCATGACGGAGTCCATAGTGATTTCAAGTTAGCCCAGGGGTTAAAACTAACCATAGTACATTTGAATACGGATTAACATTTGGTGTGTCCTTTGAACAAAAGGTTAAATAGAAAGGTAAAATGTAGAAAGGTATCTACACGTATTCACTTCAGTCAAGCTTTACTTTTAAAGTTGCTTTAGAATATTCTTATTAAAACCAGTGGTGATTTTCATGCAGCTGTTTTAATTAAAATGTTGTATGTTTTTTATAAACAAAGTGATGAAAATTTCTGGTTATAGCCTTGTAGAAGACTGAGCAGGGAAACCATCAGAATTGCAAGTGGAGCAAAAATGTTATAATTTAGATCATGTGACCGAAATACCACCACCGCTGGGTAGAATCTGCTTAAACTGCAGCTTTGGATTTTTCAGGGGTAAACAAACCTCTTATGAAAAAGAAAGCCATGCATTAAAATTATAAAGGCACATGAAATATTACAGGAAAGAATGAGAGGAAGTAAAGAAAACTAACATTCTTCTGTTTTACTGCTTTCAGGGAAGAGTTTTATGAACAGTTTCCAAAAGTGTTCTTAAGCGGTTGTAGGTTTTATTTTGCTTTACAATTTGACAGTATTTTAAGATTCTGTATTTATTCTCTTTTTGAGCTGAATTATGCAGGACTAAACAGATATCTTTTGTAAAACCTTTTATTTCCCTGACAGTTAGGAGAAATATGAAGTAGGAAATTCTTTGGTAATTGTTGGAGGTTGGTATAGTGCAGTAGATAATGTCCCTTTACTGAATTTATTATCAAAATACACAAGTCAGAGGGAAGGAGATCAAAATATAGCTTCTATTTGGTGATATACTGGTAAATGTTTAATTTTCTTCCTTTTAGAAGAGAGGAGACTGATTTATAGTGTTGACATATTTTTACGGTATAAATACTCCCTCCCTGGTGAAATTCAAGATGCCAATGGGATGTCACTGAACTTGAAATTGGGCAGAGGTTCATATATTTGGCTCTTGCAAGCCAGTGCAAACAGTCTTGGGACAGCACTGCCTGAGTGCATCACTCGTAAAGGCTGTGTTAGAGAGTGTGGCCTAGATCTCATAGATTAGCAGACTTGTTTTAATACATCACTTCAGAATCAGTCAACCTTCAACCACAGGTCTTTTCTTCTTTGGATGCCTGTACCGGTAAAACTTTCAGCAAGAAGGAGCAAAGCAAAAAGTGTGCTTACCACAGGCAGGCTGGCAGCCAGGAGAGTTAGTCGTCTCCCAGACTCTACCAATCTGATGAATTCACAATCTGAATCAAGCTGGGGAGGCCAGGCATGTCACTCAGATGGAAGGAAACAACGAAAGTGAGAAATAAATGTTAACTCTTAGCAGCATCAGAATTCAGAATGATTCTTAGAAAAATGTTACAGGGTTTGTGTCAACAAGAAGGTCAGAGGCAGAACTGTATTTTAAATATCCAACATTTTGGCATATAGCTATTCTAGCAAAAGCATCTTTGAGGCTGTCATGTGGCAAGAATTGTGGTTATCAGAAAAAAAAATAGGAGTTTTTAGGTTACACTTAAAATATAAAGACCTTAATAGACCTTTATTTTATAGAAAGATATGGAAGAATAAATTTATATTCAGTTCCTTCAAATTAAATTATTTTTTCAACTGGGTGTAACTGAAATAAATAGGGCAGCCATAGTAATTTTACTTAAGCAACTTCATTGCCTCAGAGAGCAGATGATGAACTATTTTAGTGAATATATGAAATGATATCTGGCAAGAGAAAAATACTTGATCATCTCACTTCCTTCTAGTTGATGTTCAAGAGTCCCTGCATCCAGATTTACAGCTCTTTGCTTACACATCCATCATTGTTAATATGCCAATACCCTGACGAAGCAAGCCTGGTATTGGCTGCATGAGTCAGTTTTTCCTGGTAGAGAGTGGTTTATTATTCTTGTTGCTGCTGTTGTAGTATTAACATCTGACAATTTGATAATTAACAATGATTATAAATTAGCTTATTACTATAATGACATGAGTCTAAGTGGACATTTGATATAGCTTATTTTTGAGTGTAAAAATTCTGGTTCTAAGTCAGGTGTCTGGAAGTGTTTTGTTATTATCACCGTGCTAGAAGATAAAATCTGAGTTCTGAATCAACCTACTTTCTTATTCTGTTGCCTGTGACATTGAATCTCATGTTCATATGTTCATGTGTTTTATGTTCATATGTTTTTACATTTGCTTCCCTTTGTTAGAATTTCTGGTTAGGTGTGACCCAAAACTCTTAAGTCAGGTGGAGGAGCATTTTAGGACTGGCTCTGCCATTTAACTTAAATAATAAGTTATTAAGTTATTATAACTTAAATAATAAGTTAATGAATCTTTCCAAATCTGAGCTTTCTCATATATAAAATAAGAATGCTAATGCATCTACCTCCTAGGCACCAGTAAAGATTAAGTGGAATCATGTATATAGTGTGTAACACATTTTGTGTGTGTGTGGTTAGTTTCTTTTTTTTTTTTTGAGTTTGTTTTAATTTTTAGCTTTCTCAAATAAGAGAACATGTGAAGTTTGTCTTTCTGTGCCTGGCTTATTTCACTTAACATAATGACCCCCAGTTCCATCCATATTGATGCAAATGACAGAATCTCATTCATTTTTATGGCTGAATAGTACTCCATTGTATACATGTATCATACGGTTTTTTTTACTATTATACTTTAAGTTTTAGGGTACACATGCACAACGTGCAGGTTTGTTACATATGTATACATGTGCCATGTTGGTGTGCTGCACCCATTAACTCATCATTTACATGAGGTATATCTCCTAATGCTATCCCTCACCTCTTCCCCTACCCCACAACAGGCCCCGGTGTGTGATGTTCCCCTTCCTCTGTCCAAGAGTTCTCATTGTTCAATTCCTACCTATGAGTGAGAACATGCGGTGTTTGGTTTTTTGTCCTTGTGATAGTTTACTGAGAATGATATCATACATTCTTTATTCATTCATCTGTTGATGGACACATAGTTTGCAGGGGTACATGTGCAGGTTTGTTGCATAGCTAAATATGTGTTATGGGAGTTTGTTGTCAGATTATTTCATCACCCAGGTATTAAGCCTAGTACCCATTAGTTATACAGTAATTTCTTAATACATATTATAACATTTGTTAATTGTATAAGTTAAAAATTTTATTACTATAATATTTGTTAATTTTATAAATTTTGTATGATAAAATACGTGTATTACATTCAATGCATGGCTACAATTAGTCCACGTTTAAGGACTGACTCACTTTCTAGAATTTGGCAATACTATGTCTCTCAAAGTTTTCCTAATGAAATAAGCTATTTATCTTTCCAACCCACAGCTCTTCAGGTTCACATCTATTTCTTTGCTTTCTCACTGCCCTGACTTCTACCCTTCCCTTTTTGTCTCCCTAGTACCCAAAGTCCTCTTCCCCACTGCACCTGCCATTCTTCTCCAGGTGAAAGTCTGATTTAGGAAAAGTGTATGAGAAACTCTCATAATAAAGAGTGCATTTGTATTCTTAAAGCATTACAGCAGAGCTAAAGCCTAAGAGTATAATTTCAATATTCAGGCTGTGGGTAAGAGAGGTATTTGCTCAGCCGTAGATTCCTTTTGATGCCTCTGAAATCACTGTCATATCTGTAACTATCTATTGTACAGTCCATATGGCAACCTTTAATTATACCTGTTGGAATAATCCACTTAGCCAAAGTCAAGCATCCTCTGATTACGTGTT